>NC_000011.10:101414848-101717879 GCF_000001405.40 Homo sapiens
TTTGAAAATAAAAACTGGTTACCCTTTTTTGGGTATGAGAGGAGCCAAAAGTTGTAGAACACAAAGTTCTAACTACCCTTTTGGGACAGGAGAAGAAAAACATCCCTCATTTTTATAATAAGGTTTTAGTTGATAAAAAAAAAATAGATAATATATTAATTGGGAATTTATTCCATATTACTTTTTTCTTTTGTTTTTAGTTGACACATAATAGTTGTACACATTTATGAGATACAGAGTGATATTTTGATACTTGTATACAATTTGTAATGATCAAATCAAGGTTATTAGCATTAAGGTATAATTATAATTTCTTTGTGTTGGGAAAATTCAAAATCCTCATTTTTACCTTCATGAAAATATGCAATAAGTTGTTCACTATATTCATCCAGAAAACATTTGTTAACTGTGCATCTCACAAAGGTCTAATAGCCAGCATCTATAAGGAACTTAAATTTACAAGAGAAAAGCAACCCCATTAAAAAGTGGGTAAAGGACATGAACAACACTTTTCGAAAGAAGACATACATGTGGCCAACAAGCATATGAAAAAAAGCTCAATATCACTGATCACTAGAGAAATGCAAATCAAAACCACAATGAGATACCATCTCACACTAATCAGAATCTTTATTATTAAAAAGTCAAAAATAATAGATGCTGCTCATCTGTGGAGAAAAAGGAACACTTATCCACTGTTGGCAGGAGGGTAAATTAGTTCATTGTGGAAAGCAGTATGGAAATTCCTCAATGAACTAAAAACAGAACTACCATTTGACCCAGCAATCCCATTACTGGGTATATACCCAGAGGAATATAAATCATTCTACCGTAAAGACACATGCACATGAATGTTCATTGCAGCACCATTCACAATAGCAAAGACATGAAATCAACCTAAATGCCCATGAATGACAGATTGGATAAATAAAACATGGCACATACATACCATGGAATACTATGCAACCATAAAAAATGAGATTATGTCTTTTTCAGGAACATGGATGGAGCTGGAGGCCATTATCCTTAGCAAACTAATATAGGAACAGAAAACCAAATACCACATGTTCTCACTTATGAGTGGGAACTATACGGTGAGAACTCATGAACAACACAAAGAAGAGAACAACAGACACTGGAGTCTACTTAAAGCTGGAGGATGGGAGGAGGGAGTGGAGCAGAAAATATAACTACTGAGTACTGGGTAATACCTGGGCAATGAAATAATCTGTACAACAAACACCCATGACACGAGTTTACCTATATAATAAACCTTTTCATGTACCCCTGAACCTAAAATGAAAGTTTTTTTAAAAAAAAAAAAAAACATATTCACTCTACAGTGCTGCAGAGCACTAGAACTTAGTCCTTCTACTTAACTGTAATTTTGTATCTGTTAACTAACTCTCGCTAACTTCCTCTCCCTCCTACCCTTCCCAGCTACTAATCATGACAATTCTACTTTCTACTTCCATGAGCTCAACTTCTTTTTGCTGCCACATGTGACTGAGAACATGCAGTACTCATTTTTCTGTGCCTAATTTCACTTCACATAATGTCCTCCAGTCTCATCCATGTTGCCTTGAAAGACAGAATTTTATTCTTTTTAATGGCTGAATAAGATTCCATTGTGTGGGTACACACACACATACACACACTACATTTTCCTTATCTGTTCATCCACTGATGGACATTTAAGTTGATTTCATATCTTGGCTATTGTGAATAGTGCTGCGATAGACGTACGGGTGCAGATATCTCTTCAATATACTGATGTCCTTTCCTTGGATATATACCCAGTAATGGAATTGCTAGATTGTATGTTCTACTTTTAGTTTTTTGAGAAAACTTCATACTGTTTTCTGTAATGGCTGAACTAGTTTACATTCCCACCCACGGTGTATAAGAGTTCCTTTTATGTTCTCACCAGCATTTACTTTTTATCTTTTTAGTAATAGCCATTCTAACTGGGGTGAGATGATATTTCATTGTGGTTTTGATTTGGAGTTCCCTGATGATTAGTGATGCTGAGCATTTTTTCTCATACTTGTTGGCCATTTACATATCTTTTTTTTTTTTGAAAAATGTCTATTCAGATCCTTTGCCCATTCTTTAATTGGATTATTGGTTTTTTTTATTGTTTCTTTTTATACTCTGTATATTACTCCCTTGTCAAATAAATAGTTTGCAAATATTTTCTTATATTCTACAGATTGTCTCTTCACTCTGTTGATTGTTTCCTTTGCTGTACAGAAGCTTTTTTAGTATAATACAGTCTCATTTTTCTGTTTTTGTTTTTGTTGCCTGTACTTCAAGGTCTTACCCATAAAATCGTTACCAAGACCAACATTTTCTTAGTCTTTTTGTGTTGCTATAAAGGAAAACCTGAAGTTGGGTAATTTAAAAAGAAAAGAGGTTTGTTTGTCTACAGTTCTGCAGGCTGTATAAGCATGGCACCAGCATCTGCTTCTGGTGAAGGATTAAGTCTCCCACTCATGGCAGAAGGTGAAAGAAAGCTGGTTCATAAAGGTCAGATGGCAAGAGAGAGACAGATAGAGGTCCCAGGCTCGCTATTTATTTATTTATTTATTTATTTATTTATTTATTTATTTATTTTGAGTCGGAGTCTCACTCTGTCGCCCAGGCTGGAGTGCAGTGGTGCCATCTTGGCTCACTGTAAGCTCCGCCTCCTGGGTTCACGCCATTCTCCTGCCTCAGCCTCCCGAGTAGGTGGGACTACAGGCGCCCACTGCCACGCCCAGCTAATTTTTTTTTTTTTTTTTTTGTATTTTTTTTTAGTAGAGACGGGGTTTCACCGTGTTAGCCAGGATGGTCTCGATCTCCTGACTTGTGATCCGCCCGCCTCAGCCTCCCAAAGTGCTGGGATTACAGGCGTGAGCCACCGCGCCCAGCCAGGTTCCAGGTTCTTTTTAACAACCAGCTCTCAGAAATTATTACAGCAAGAACTCACTCATTTCAAGGACAGTGCCAAGTCATTCATGAGGAATCGTCTTTCCTGACCCAAATGCCTCCCATTAGGCCCCACTTCCAACATTGGGGATCAAATTTCAACATGAGGTTTGGAGGGTCCAAAATCCAAAGTATAGAAAATGTCCTGAAGAGTTTATTCTGTGTTATCTTCTAATGGTTTTAGAGTTTTGGGTCTTACATTTAAGTCTTTAATTCCTTTTGAGTTAATTTTTGTATATGTTGAGAGATAGATGGTCTAGATTCAGTCTTCTGCATATGGATACCAAGTTTTCCCAGCACCATTTATTGAAGAGACTTTCCCCAGTGCATGTTCTTGGTGAACATTTACTGAAGAGTCCTTTCCCCATTACATGTTGGTAATGCCTTTGTGGAAAAATCAGTTGACTGTAAATATTTGGATTTATTTCTGGGTTCTATACTCTTTTCTATGGGTCTATGTGTCTGGTTTTATGCCAGTATCATACTGATTAGGTTACTATAGCTTTGGAATATATACTTTGAAGTAAGGTAGTATGATGCCTTCAGCTTTGTGTTTTTTCCTCAGTATTGCTTTTGCTATTTGAAGTCTTTTGTGGTTCCATGTGGATTTTAGGTTTTATTTTTCTATTTCTGTGAAGAATGTCATTGGTATCTTCATAGGGATTACATTAAATCTGTAGATTGCTTTGAGTAGTGTGGTCTTTTTTTTTTTTTTTTTTTTTTTTTTTTGAGACGGAGTCTCGCTCTGTTGCCCAGGCTGGAGTGCAGTGGCACGATCTCGGCTCACTGCAAGCTCCACCCCCCGGGCTCGCGCCATTCTCCTGCCTCAGCCTCCCGAGCAGCTGGGACCACAGGCGCCCGCCACAACGCCCGGCTAATTTTTTTGTATTTTTTCGTAGAGACGGGGTTTCACCGTGTTAGCCAGGATGGTCTCGATCTCCTGACCTCGTGATCCGCCTGCCTTGGCCTCCCAAAGTGCTGGGATTACAGGCGTGAGCCACCGCGCCCGGCCGTGTGGTCATTTTTGTAATATTGTTCTAATCCATTAACATGTGATGTCCTTTTTGTGTTCTGTTGAGTTCTTTTCACTAATATTTTATAATTTTCATTGTAGAGATTTTTAACCTCCTTGGTTAAATGTATTCCCAAGTATTGTATTTTTGTAGCTATTTTAAGTGTTTTTATTTTAAATTTTTTCAGCTAGTTGATTGTTAGTAGAGAAACGCTACTGTTTTTTAATGTTAACTTCATATCTTGCAACTTTACTGAAATTGCTTATCGCTTCTAAGAGTCTTTTGGTGAAGTTGTTAGATTTTTCTCTATAGCAGATCATCTGTCATTTGCAAAGAGGGACAATTTGACTTTCCCTTTTCCAGTGTGGATGCCATTTCTTTCTTTCCCTTGCCTAATTGTTCTGCCTAAGACTTTCAGTACCACATTGAATAAGAGTGGTGAAAGTAGCCGGGCGCGGTGGCTCACGCCTGTAATCCCAGCACTTTGGGAGGCCGAGGCGGGTGGATCATGAGGTCAGGAGATCGAGACCATCCTGGCTAACAAGGTGAAACCCCGTCTCTACTAAAAATACAAAAAATTAGCCGGGCGCGGTGGCGGGCGCCTGTAGTCCCAGCTACTCGGGAGGCTGAGGCAGGAGAATGGCGTGAACCCGGGAGGCGGAGCTTGCAGTGAGCCGAGATTGCGCCACTGCAGTCCGCAGTCCGGCCTGGGCGACAGAGCGAGACTCCGTCTCAAAAAAAAAAAAAAAAAAAAAAAGAGTGGTGAAAGTAGACATCCTTGTCTTGCTCTAGTTCTTACAGGCAAAACTTTCAGCTTTTCCTCATTCAGTATGATGTTAGCTGTGGGTTTGTCATATAGGGACTTTGTGGTGATGAAGTATGTTCTTTTTATACCTAATTTATTGAGAATTTTTATCATGAAGGGATGTTGAATGTTATCAAATGCTTTTTCTGCATCTATTGAAATGATCATATGGTTTTTGTCCTTCATTCTGTTGATGTGATGTGTCACCTCTATCAATTTACATATGCTGAAACATCCTTTGATCCCTTCAATGAATCCCACTAGATTGTATTGTATTATCTTTTCATTGTGCTTTTCAATTGAGTTTGCTAGTATTTTGTTGGGGATTTTTGCATCTATTTTCAGCACGGATAATGGTCTTTAGTTTTCTTTTATTGTTGTATCATTGTCTGGTTTTAGTATTGGGGTAATGCTGGTCATATAGAATAAATTAGAATTTCCTCCTCTTTAATTATTTGGAATCATTTAAAAAGAATTGGTGATATTTCTTCTGTCAATGTTTGGTAAAATTTAGCAGTAAAGCCATCTGTCTTGGGCTTTTTATTGTTGGGAGACTTTTTATTACTTATAATTTTGTTACCATTATTGGTCTGTTCAGGTTTTCTATTTCTACTTGGTTCAATCTTGGTTGCTTATATGTGTTCAGGAATTCATCTATTTCTTCTAGGTCTTCCCATTCGTTGATGTGTAGTTGTTCATAATCGCCTCTAATAATTCTTTGTATTTCTGTGGTATCAGTTATAATATCCCCTTTGTTGTTTGTGATTTTATTGATTGTGTCTTCTTCCTTCTTTTCTTAGTCTTCCTAATGGTTTCTCCATTGTGTTTATCTTTTTTAAAAAAACCAATTTTTTGTTTGTGTTATTTTTATGTCTCTATTTCATTTAGTTCTGCCGTGATCTTTCTGGTTTCTTTCCTTTTATTAATTTTTGTCTTAGTTCTTGCTTTTCTACTTTTTTGATGTACATTGTTAGGTTGTTTATTTAAAATCTTTTTACTTTTTTGATATAGACATGTATTGCCATAAACTTCCCTCTTAGTACTGCTTTTGCTGTTTCCCATAGGTTTTGGTACATTGTTGTATTAGTCCATTCTTGCACTGCTATAAAGAAATAACCGAAACTGGGTAATTTATAAAGAAAAGAGTTTTAATTGACTCATGGTTATGCAGGCTGTACTGGCTTCAGCTTCTGGGGAGGTTTCAGAAAACTTAAAATCATGGTGGAAGCAAAAGGAAGCAGGCACATTTTACATGGCTGGAGCAGGAGGAAGGGGAGAGAGGTGGGAGGTACAACACACTTTTAAACAACCGGATCTTGTAAGAACTCTATCATGAGAACGGCACTAGAGTGATGGTGCTAAACCATGAGAAACCATCCCCATGATCCAATCACTTCCCCCTAGGCCCAACTCCAAAATTGGGGAATTATAATTTAACGTGAGATTTGGGCAGGGGCACAAATCCAAACCATATCAATTGTGTTTTTATTTTCACTTGTTTTAAGAAATTCTTTTGATTTATCTCTTAATTTTTTAAAAGACCCATTGGTCATTCAAAAGTATGTTGTTTAATTTTTATGTATTTTTACAGTTTTCAAAGTTTCTCTTACTGATTTCTAGTTTTGTTCCATTGTGGTGTAAGAAGATACTTGATACGATTTTGATTTTTGAAAAGCTATTGATATCTGTTTTGTGGGCTAACATATCATTTATTCTGGAAAATGTTTCATGTGCTTATGAGAAGAATGTGTATTTTACAGCTGTTGGAAAAAATGTTCTGCAAATGGTAGGTCCATTTAGTCTAAAGTCCAGTTTAAGTCCAATGTTTCTTAGTTGATTTTCTGTCAAGATAGTCTGTACAATGCTGAAAGCCCAGTGTGGAAGTCTCCAACTATTATTGTATTGGGGTCTGTCTCTCTCTTTAACTCTGAAAATATTTGCTTTTTATATCTGGATGCTTCAGTGTTGGTTGCATAGATATAAGTGTTATTTCTTCTTGCTGAATTGACCCCTTTATCATTATATAATGACTTTCTTTGAATATTTTTATGTTTTTTTATTTCAGTTCTATTTTGTCTGATATAATTACAGGTATTACCATACATGTTTTGTTTCCATTAGAATGTAATATCTTTTTACATCGCTTCACTTTCAGTCTGTGTGTGTCTTTACAGGTGAAGTGAGTTTTCTGTAGGCAGCATATAGTTGGGTATAGTTTTTTTTTACTCCATTCTGCCAGACTATATCTTGTAAATGGGGAATTTAAACCATTTACAATCAAAGTTGTTATTGATAGATGAAGACTTACTCCTGTCGTTTTATTGTTTTCTGATTGTTTTGTATACCCTTTGTTACTTCTTCCTCTCATTGTTTATCTTTGTGGTTTGATGGTTTTCTGTAGTAATGATGCTTTCTCTTTTGTGTATCTGCTCTATTGGTGAGTTTTATATCTTCATGTGTTTTCATAATGACAGATATTGTTTTTCCCAGATGTAGAACTCCCTTAAGTATTTCTTGGAGGGCTGGTCTAGTGGTGATGAAATATCTCAGTTTTTGCTTGTCTGAGAAAGAATTTATTGTTTCTTCATTTTTGAAAGATAGCTTGGCTGAATATATACACTATTGTAGGCTAGCAGGGTTTTTTAAATTTTTTTTCAGCACTTTGAATGTATCATTTCATTCTCTCCTGGCCTATAAAGTTTCTGCTGAGAAATCTGCTGTTAGCCTGATAGGGATTCCCTTATGTGTGGCTTGACTGTTTGTGGAACAGTCCCTCGCTGTTTATAGAATTCTCTCTTTGCCTCTGACTTTTGAGAGAGCGGATATTTTTGAGTTGAATCTAAGTCAGGGTATTTGAGCTTACTGGATCTGGATGTCTATAGCTCTCCTAAGACTTTGGATATTTTCAGTTATAATCTCACTGGATAAATTTTATATGCCTTTTCTTGTCTCCTCTCCTTCTGGAAATCCTGAAATTCAAACGTTTGTTTAATTAATGGTATCCCATATGTCAAGAAGGCTTACTTCATTCTTTTTTCTTCTCTTGACTTTTTTTGTCTGTATTTCAAAAACCCTGGCTTTAAGTTTAGAAATTCTTTCTGCTGCTTGATCTAGTCTATTATTGAAGCTCTGAGTAGTATTTTCATATCATTCATTGAATTATTCAGTTCCAAGATATCTGTTTGGTCCTTTTTTGTAGTGTCTTTCTCTTTCTTGAATTTCTCATTCAGCTCATGAATTGTTTTCCTGATTTCTTTGTATTGTCTATCTATGTTTTCTTATATCTCACTGAGTTTTCTTCAAAGAATTACTTTAAATTTCCTGTCAGGTATCTCATAATTTCCTTTTCTTTGGGATCTGAGCATGGAGAATTTTTGTCCTCTTTTGGAGGTGTTACGTTTCCCTGCTTTTTCATGTTTCTTTTGTCCCTATATTGATATCTGCACATCTGTTGTAACAGCCACTTCTAATTTTATGAAGTATCTTTTGTGGGAAAAGACTTCCTCCTGTAGACATATTTATAGTGTCAATTGAGTAGGATGCTTTGTCTTTGGTTCTGGGTAGCAGTAGTATAGTCTCTATATGATTTCTTTGACTGTAATCAACGTCAGTCGTGTCTGAGTTTCTCAGTGGCCTAGGCTGCAGTTGTTTGTGGAGGTCATGGGGCAGTTTTACAAGGGGATATTGATAAACCCATCACTGGAAGGGGAGGGTTTACAAGCAGTGACAGTGGGGGATCCTGGGTAGGCTGTTCCTTGGGCCCCTAGGTAGAGTACACGGGCATCAGTGATGACAGCAGTTGGCCCCAAGTGAGCTGGTCTTCAGGCTCCAAACAATACTCATGGTGCTGGTGGTGGCAGCAGACCTTGGCCAGGCACAGATGGTGGATCCACTGGAGGGGAAGGGGTTGCTGTTAGTGTGCAAACCCCAGGCTGGTGGCACTCAGGTTCTAGGGAATACTTGCTTTGCTTCTCTGTTTCCTGGGTGTAGACTCTCTGATATACTTGACCACCTGTTCTTCAGGGTGGAGAGTACTGCATGAGCTCTATTTTGGGGATGTGACTGGGAACATAGACCACTGGGTCCAGGTGATGTCACAGTGCTGCAGCCCTCTATGGATGTGGGGGGATGGGCTATTGGCCTTAGGGCAAGATGTAGTGTGGCGGTGGCTCCAACCTCAAAATAACACCATACTGCAGCGGCCTGGTTCCAAGGGGGTTTGGGGACCAATTTTTTATTTCCTCTCCGAAACAATGCAGATGTGTGGACTCCAGGAAGCTCTTTGCACAATGCTCAGGACCTGTAAGGGCTGCAGAGCTCTTTTGTAGTCAGGATTGTGGGCCTCTGTGGTGGGAATGTAGACTTCTTGGGATTTCTTGTTTACATTTTCCTCACAACATGGAGTCCCTCCTAGCTCTGAGCTAATCCTGGCCAACTGCTTCACTTCCCTCTCCATGCTTCCACTGTGAATTTCTGTGCTTCATAGTGTCTTTGCCATTTCCTCGCTAAATTCCAGTGTTCTTCTTCAGTTGCTCTATTTGATATGTGATTATCTATTATGTTATTTTAGTCATTTTTTTGTGGAAGAGGTGAGTTCTTGGTGCTTCTTGTCAGCCATCTTGATAGCCAAGAGTATTGCATTTAAAAAATCAACATTAAATTTTCCTTTTATATTTTTAAATTATACTTCATAATGTATATATATTTATGGAGTACAATTTGATGTTTCAATACATATATATGTTGTATAATGGTCAAATCAAGGTGTTTAGCATATCCAACACCTCATACGTTTATTATTTTTATGGTGAGAATGTTCAAAAGCCTCTAGCTATTTTGTAATATAAAATACCTTATTGTTAACCATTGTCACCCTCCTGTGCAATGGAACACCAGAATTTATGTCTGCTATCTAATTGTAACTTTGTACCCATTGACCAAACTCTCCTTATCTTCAGTCTCTGGTAAACACTGTTTTAGTCTCTGCTTCTATAATATCAACTGCCTTTAAAAAAAAAAAAAAAAAAAGGATTTCAAAAAGAGTGAAATCAGGCAGTATTTTTCTTTCTGTGTCTGACTTATTTTACTTAACATGATGTCCTCCAGATCCATCCACATTGTCACAGAATTTCATTCTTTTTTATTGTTGAATATTATTTAATTATGTATATATGACACATTTTTAAATTCATTCATCTGTTATTGGACGCTTGGCTTGATTCCATGTCTTGGCATTTATAAAAAGGGTGAAATAAACATGAGAGTACAAATATCTCTTCATCATATTGATTTCATTTCATTTGGATATGTACCCAGTAATGGGATTGCTGGATTATTAGGCAGTTTGATTTTTAATTTTTAAAAGAATCTCCATACTGTTTTCTATAGTGGCTATAGTAATTTACAATCCACCAACAGTGTGTTAAGTACTTCCTTTTCTAGTCACCTTTTCCAATGCTTGTTTTCATTTGACTTTTTGATAATAGGCATTCTAACTGGAGGGAGATGGTCTGTCATTGTGCTTTTAATTTGCATTTCAAATTTATGAATGGTTGGTGATGCTAAGCATTTTTTCATGTACGTTTTGGCCATTTGAATGTCTTCCTTTGAGAAATGTCTATTAAAATATTGCTCATGTTTTAATCAAGTTATTTGTGGGGGGGGGTTATTTTGTTTTGTTAGTTTTGTTGTTGTTGTTAACTTTCTTATATATTCTGGTTATTAACCCCTTATCAGATGTATGCATAGCTTGCAAATATCTCTCCAATTCTGGCAATTGTCTCTTCATTCTGTAGATTGTTTCTTTTGCTATGCAAAAGCTTTTTAGTTTGATGTAATCTCATTTTTCTAATTTTCTTGAGGTCTTATTTTAAAAATGCTTCCCCAGCCCAATTCCATAAAATGTTTCCCCTATGTTTGCTTCTCGTAATTTCATTTAAGTATTTAATCCATTTTGAGTTGATTTTTGTATATGGTAAGAAGTAGAGATGTAGTCTCATTCTTCTCCATATGGGTATTTAATGTTTCCAGCACCATTTATTGAAGATACTATCATTTCCCCAATGTGTGTTCTTGGCACCTTTGTCAAAAGTCTGTTGGCTATAGGTGCAATAATTTATTTCTGGGCTCTCCATTTTGTTTCATTGATCAGTGTGTCTTTTTTTTTTTTTTTTACAAGTACCACGCTCTTTTGTTAACTGTAGCTTTGTAGTATATGTTGAAATCACATAGTGTGATTCCTTTAGCTTTGCTCATTTTGCTGTTGATTGTTTTGGCTGTTTTAGGTCTTTTGTAGTTCCATATGAATTTTAGATTTCTTTTTATTTTTGTGAACAATGTCATTGGAATTTTTGTAGGTATTGCATTAAATCTGTAGATACCATTTGGTAATATGGCCATTTTAACAATATTAATTCTTCCAATTCATGAACACAGGATGTCTTTTTACTTATTTGTGCTTTCTTCAATTACTTTTATCAGTGTTTTATAGTTTTCCATGTGGTGTTATTTCAATTCCTTGATTTAGTTTATTCCTAGTTACCTTTAATTTTGTAGTTACTGTAAATGAAAATTTTTTTTCAGATAGTCTGCTATTCACAAATAAAAATGCTACTGATTTTTACATGTAGATTTTGTATCCTGTAACTTCAGTAAATTCATTTAATAGTTCTAACAGTTGTTGTTGTTGTTATTGTTTTTTCTGGTGGAGTTTTAGGGTTTTCTATATATAAGATAATGTCATCTAAAGACAGGGACAAGTTAACATCCTCCTTTTCAATTTGGATTCCCTTTATTTCTTTTTCTTCCCTCATTGCTCTGGTTAGGACTTCCAGTACTATATTGAACAGAGTGGTGAAAGTGGGCACCCTGTCTTGCTCCTGATCTTAGAGGTAAACTTTTAGCTTTTCCCTGTTTAATGTGTTAGCTGTGAGTTTATCACATATGGCCTTTATTCTATCGAGGCACATACTTTCTATATCTAATTTGTTGAGCATCCTTGTCATGAAGGAATGTTGAATTTTGTCAAATGCTTTTTCTGCATCTATTGAAATGATCATGTGAGTTTTTTTCCTCTCTTTTTGTTAATGTAGTGTATCACGTTTATTGATTTGCTTATGTGGGATCATTCTTGTATACTTGGGATAGATTCCACTGGCAAGCATCTTGTTAAGAATGTTTGCATCTATGTTCATCAGGGATATTGGTTTGTACTTTGTTGTTGTTGTTGTGTTATGGTTTGGCTTTGGAATCAGGGTAATGCTGGTGGGATTACAGGCATGAGCCATTGTGCCTGGCCAGAAGACTGATGTTTATTTGTTGATTTTTTGTCTAAATGATCTATCTACTGTTGAAAGTGGGGTGTTGTAGTTTCCTACTATTATTATATTACAACCTGTCTCTCACCTTAGATCTAATAATATTTGCCTTATATATTTGGATACTCTAGTGTTGAGTGCATAAATATTTAAAACTATTATATCTTCTTGTTGTATTGATCTCTTTGTCATTGTATAATGACCTTCTTGACCTCTTTTTGCCATTTTTGATATAAAGTCTAATTTATATGTAAGTATGGCTGTCCTGGTTGCTTTTGGTTTCTGCTTGCATGGATTTTTTTTTAATATTCCTTTACTTTCAGTGTGTATTTGTGTTTAACAATGAAATGAGTCTCCTGTATACGACATATCATCAGGTCTTGTTTTTCTGTTTTCCTGATTTTTCAAAAATCCATTCAGTGACTCTGTCTTTTAATTGGAGAATTCAATCCATTACATTCCAGATAATTATTGATAGGTAAGGACTTACTACTGCTATTTTGTTACTCACATTCTAGTCATTTTGTTACTCACATTCTAGTCATTTTGTAGATTATTTCTTCTTTTTTTCCTCTCTTGCTGTTTTCTTTTGTGGTTAGGTGATTTTCTTCAGCAATGTGTTTTGATTCCTTGCTTTTTATTTTTAGTGTATCCATTATAGGTTTGTGCTTTGTGGTTACCAAGAGGCTTACAAAAGACATCTTATAGTTATAACCAGTTATTTTTAACCTGATAGCAACTTAACTTTAGTCCTGTCAAAAAAGAAATAATCAAAATAAAACTCAACGCTTTAAATTTATTTCTGCCCCTCCAAAATTTTGAATTTTTGATGTCACAATTTGCATATTTTTATATTGCCTATCACTTAACAAACATTTGTAGTTACAATTATTTTTAAATATTTTGTCTTTTATTCTTCATATTAAGGATATAAGTGGTTTATATACCACAATTACCATATTATTGTATTCTGAATTTGTCTGTATGCTTAATTTTACCAGTGAGTTTTAAACTTTCAGATGTTTTCTTGTTACACCTCTTCTTTCAGTTTGAATAACTCCCTTTAGCATTTCTTGCAAGACAGGTCTGGCAGTGATGAATTCCCTATGCTTTTGTTTGTCTGAGAAAGTCTTTATCTATCCTTCATTTCTGAAGGATAATTTTGCCAGGTATAGTATTCATGGGTGGCAATTTTTTTTTTTCCTTCCGCACTCAGAATATATCATCCTACCCTCTCTTGGCTTGTAAGGTTTCTACTCAGAAGTTTACTGCCAGAGTGAACTTTGGGTGACATTTATAAGTCATTTGCTTCTTTTCTCATGCTGCTTTCGGAATCCTGTCTTTGTCACTGACCTTTGAGAGTTTAGTTACAATATGTCTTGGGATAGTCATATTTATATTGTATCTATTTGGTGATATTGAACCTTCCTATACTTGGATATTTATATCTTTCTCCGTGTTTGGAACATTTTCTGTTAGTATTTACTTGAATAAGTTTCTACCTCTTTGTCATTTTCAAGTCTCTCTTGAACTTCAGTGACCCTTATATTTGCTCTTTTGATGTTGTCCCTTAGGACCTGTAAGCTTTGTTTCTTTTCATTCTTTTTAATTTTTTCTCCTCTATTTTCAATTAGTTTATCTTTGAGCTTGCTGATTCTTCCTTCTGCTTGATCAATTGTGTTGTTGAGACCTTCTATTGTATTTTTGAGTTCATTAATCACATTTTTCAGCTTTAGGCTTTCTGTTTGATTTTTAAGTTTTTTTTTCAATATCTTTGTTAAAGTTATCTGATAAATATCTGAATTGCTTTTCTGTGTTATTCTGAAATTCACTGGGTTTCCCCAAAACTACTATTTTAAATTCTTGATCTGAGAGGTTACACATTGCCATCCTATTAGGGTCAGTCATTGGTTTCTTATTTTGTTAATTTTTGAGGCCACAGTTTCCTGTTTGCTCTTGCTTATTTTGGATGTATTTTTATGTCTTTGCACTGAAGTATTAGGTATTTATTCCAGGCTTCTCTGTCTGTCTTGCTTTGTGTTGATCTTTCTAGAGTATATATGTCTAAAGGTCCTAGGCAGACTGTTAAGGTGCCTTATCTCAAGATTGCTGACTCCTTCTCAGCACTAGATGGTGCCCTAAGCTAATCTTTGCTCTAGCTCTTTCACAGGTTCTGAGTTTTGCATAGTGCCTATTTTTGGATGGGCCTGGGGGTGGGATCCAAAGTGGATACATGGCTGTCTGGGAAGGCTGGCGAAGGTTTGTGCCCAAAGCAGTCATGGATAATGCCTCCTATAGCATGATCCTGCTGAAGAGCCTTTCTGATTTATGCCTCCCTAGGTAGAAATGAAGAGCAGCCACCAGATTTTGCATGCTGACTGCTGCTAGCCTCACCTCCACTTTTTGTCTCTGGCTGACCTAAGGAGTTTTTACCCTACAGGCACTTGCAATGATTCCCTTGGGTTAAGGCAGGAATGTTTTTCCTTCTAAGGAACCCAGGATGGTGGAGAAGCCAGCTGTCTGCCTTGATCTCAGTTTTTCCATTGTAGAGGCTACACTTTTTCAGTGTAGAAAGAAGTCTAGGGGCAGTTTTCCATGTGGTGCCTGGCAGCTTGCTGGAGGGGCATCAAGGTTAAAGAAATTCATTTCCCCTACCTTCTGCTCCTGGTTTTTCACTTCTCTGAGGCTCTAGGGATTGTCGCAGCCTCAGTTTTAAGTTTTGGAATATTCCGGGTGATAATCTTGGCACTAGATAGTTGTTTTTGCTTTTCTATGAGGGAGAGTGAAGCCAGATTGCTCCTACTCTGCCATTTTGATGCCATCAGTGAATCCATTTTAAATTTTCACTGAATCATCTGCTGGTGGTGATTAAAGAAGAAACTTCAGTGTTTGACATGTTAACAAAAGGCAGCTAAGTGGTTGCAAAGGTCACATGGCAGAGTCAACAAATCAGCAGCTATTGCTAGGGAAGAATGAGGGCAAGAGCAGTCTCAGGGTTTCTTTTTCTCTTTGAGCTCAGCACACAGTCTTGCAGAGAAGCAACCTTTCTTCCCCTCATATTTCTTGAATTGTGTAGTGGTTGTTATTCTTTTTCATCTTCTGGCTGCTACTTCATTTTTGAGTTTTATTTTGACATAAAAGAGGCACTGCTCCACGCTTCAGTTTTTGTTTTCTTCTTTTTTCTCCACTTTAATCTACATTCTCCTTCTGCCTCTTGGCTCTCACCCATCTTTCATTTGGAGAGTATCAGCAGGAATCAGCCAGAGGGATAGTTTGCTGTATATAGAATTGGCCTCTTCAAGCTGTAGACAGACTTTCCCAGAATGTCATTTCAATGTCAGACAGGTCTTCAGGGCAGCAACACAGTACCTGGAAGGATGGGATGGCCATAAAAATGTGCCAATCAGATCTCTTGCTTCGGGGAGCATAACTGATTGGTAGCCTCAGCTGCTCTTCTTCTAGCTCTTCCCTGCTCATTTGTTTGTGCCAAAAGCATGCCTCCCATGAATTCCTTCCAGCTAACAAATGAGCATAGTGGGGATACTGGCCTCACAGATGCAGGCCTATTCCTGTAAAACACAGGACTCTTGTTTTGGTGACTTTACTTGAGAATTTCCATATGGCTAAAACCTTGTTAGAACTGTGCTGCAGCTTGGAACTCTTATTACTTAATCCCCCTTAATTTCTCCTTTGGAAGCCCCAAAGATGTTTAAATGCTGAGAAAGATTGAAAATGGCTGAGAAAACTTGGGACCCTAAAAAATGAGATGGGGGCAACTGGATGGATTTCCTGAGGATATTGACTCTGCACACTCCTCCCCATGCTGACCATTCTCAGAGCTTTCAGCAGTTAACAACCCTTCCCTAGTAAGAACTACGCTACCCTCTTGGTAGAAGATAAAGCAGTGAATCAAGAAGAATCCCACTCAAGAGCTGCCTCTACTTCCTCTCCTGCATTCCACACTGATAACTATGATTCCAGCTGAAGATGTGCTGGGCCAGA
Organism: Homo sapiens; assembly: GCF_000001405.40. Lineage (NCBI taxonomy): Eukaryota > Metazoa > Chordata > Mammalia > Primates > Hominidae > Homo > Homo sapiens. The sequence goes on from NC_000011.10 coordinate 101,430,955, forward strand.
TAAGGGAAGGAAGAAATTATATACTAGAGAAACTATGAATTTTAGCTAGCTTATACTTGTATTGGAATTTTAGTGATATTTGATGGAGGGTACTGGAATGTAAGAGTGGACAAGCAAAAATTCATTGACTTGGGGGAACTTTCTCGACACGGAATTTAACATTCTTGTGAGGACCCCTGGGGATAGGGTAAACTCACCTCTAGGGTGGCTATTAGAAGCCTGGAGCATTGTGGAGGTAAATTGCAGGCTCCTTCCTGTGAGAAATGCAATTTTGCCTGGAGTATTTCAACAGGCACCCTCAGCTGATGTGTTTGCCGTTGGCCTGGCTGACACTTTCTTAGAAACACACTGCAGTTTGCTGCAGGTTGAATTGCCTTCCACTGAGTCATCCTTCTTTTCCCCTCTTTCACAGCTGTCTGACTCCGCCCACTCTTTGAATTTCCCTCTTCTTTTTTTTTTTTTTTTTTTTGGTTTGTTTGGTTTTTTTGAGACGGAGTCTCGCTCTGTCGCCCAGGCTGGAGTGCAGTGGCACAATCTCGGCTCACTGCAAGCTCCGCCTCCCGGGTTCACGCCATTCTCCTGCCTCAGCCTCCCGAGTAGCTGGGACTACAGGTGCCCACCACCATGCCCAGCTAATTTTTTTGTATTTTTAGTAGAGATGGTGTTTCACCGTGTTAGCCAGGATGGTCTCGATCTCCTGACCTCGTGATCCGCCTGCCTTGGCCTCCCAAAGTGCTGGGATTACAGGCGTGAGCCACCGTGCCCAGCCTGAATTTCCCTCTTCTTTATCCTATTGGGGTATTTCCCCCAATAAATCTCTTGTATGTAACATCTCATCTTGGTGTCTGCTTTTAAGAGGAATCCAAATTAACATAGGGGAACATTCTGGTATTAGTCTATGAGGGGAAAAGCCAGAAAGAGGTAGAAACTCCATAAAAACTTGTTTTTCTTGAGAAATTATTTTCCCTGGATTTTTCCCCCAAAATCTCCAGTAAACAAGCAATGAGTTGTTTGTCCCCAAGCTATCCTTACACCCTCAGACTTAGAATTCTATTTCCCAAGGCTACTCCCCTTCACAGGAGAATATAAATTACAACACTCATACAGCAGAGATTGAAGAGCATGAGCTCCAATTTAGACTTCTGAGGCCAGAGGGCTCTGATTCTATCCTCAGAGTTCTCATTCCAAGTCAGTTTTAAGCTGATAATTATGGAAACAAAAGGAAGCTTGCTGATCACAGTCCTGTGTGGTCTGTCTGTGCGCAATGTGTCTCAATCCCTCCCTTTACTTTCATACTTAATAATGTTATCTGTTACCCATTAGGGAGCCATAAGATCTATTCCCACATAGGACCCATCCCAGATGAATCCTTGTGTGGTTCTGATTAGGTTTCAGGCTCCACCCAGCCCAGAGATTTTGTAATTTGACAGGAAGAGCTGCCTTGGGGTTTGATAGAAATACCTGGAAGTGAGAGCCCACCTTGTGCCAATTTCCTTCCATTTGAGTGAAATTACTTTTACTTCGCCACTTTCACTTTCACCTTCACCAAACACACCCTCACTTTTGAACAAGACTCACCTGGTTGATATTGGCTGCCTTCCCTGAGGCTCCTATATTGTGAATTTTTACAAATATTCTTCTGCATCCCTCCTCACCTGTGAGTAGTTTGTGCACCTACTTGCAAACGTTCATTTGCTGTGTGAAGTGCGCGTTACTTTGATATGTCTTTCCCAAAACGTGTGTCATAGAACATCGATTCCTTGAGATGTTAATAATTGTCCTGCAAAAATGGCTTCAGTCAAATAAATTTAGAGAAGTCTGTGTTTAAAAATACATATGTATAGGAACACATAAAACATTTTGACTTTAAGACTTCTCAGGGTCTTTAAGGTGATCAAGAGTGTGGTGAATCTTCAAGAGGGAGATAAAGTATGTAATAACTTCCAAAATTATTTACCACAAAATTCATAGAGTCCATTCTTATTTTTGCAGTAACTTCACAGCTGATGCCTCAGGGACTGGCATGCACAAAATTCAGGGCTGCATGTGAGAAGGGTGTGGGGTGCCTTCCCCTGATAAGGAGTCTCTGCTGAAATAAGACTGATCCCTGTTGCCCCTCCAAGGAGCTTCCTGCAGCAAGAGCCATTGAGACTGCAAATGATTTGATTTTAACGTCCTGGATGCTTCTATGGCAACATAAAGGTGTTTAATGCTAGTCCCTGCCTTCAACTTTAAACACTGCCAGACCCAGACTCTGAGATGTGCAGTTAATTATTTTAGTTCCTTTTCTTCCCGGATTCAATTGGGTTCCATCAAAAACACAAAGCTCATCATGGCTGAGAAAAACAGGTCACAGTTGGAATTCATTTGGCAATAGAGGATATTGGATTATGTCCCTGAATATCTGTTTTGAAAACACTAAAACTTCCAAGCTTTTGCTAAACAAACTGTTCCTGTTTATGTGACACACCATAAGCCATGGGTCCTGACTGTACTTCTGTTCGAAGGCCTCCAAAATTGTAGTTTATATTCAAATCTATCGCACATCAAAATCCAAATTTGAGAAGACTCCAGGATACATATACATTCGGTGCTATGGTCTAAACATAACCTGAATTGCTTTAGAATGAACATTTTTGTCAATTACTCTCTGGAGTTAGGGACTCCTTTCCATGTAGATCACCTGACAAACCCAAGCAGGAAATACAGCCTAAGTCAAATTGAAAAGATTTAAGTGCTTGGCTAATACAGCAAATCCTAGGGATCTAGGATTCAGGGGACATTCCCTTATTGGTGGTTTTCTTACAATCTTGAGGCTCAGTCTGATGGTTGGACATAATTGAATGTTTAAATACTCCAGGGCTAACTCAATGAGCCTGGGAATATAAAGAGAACTGCTGTTGCACTGTGGAATATTCAGTTATTACATGCAATTTCTTTAAAAGTTCCCATGCATTTTCTTTACCACTGAGGATTTACTTCAATATTTATTTTTATTTATATATTTATTACTCCCTTCCACTGAAGATCTGAGGGCATAGATTTATTCCAAGAATATGAGCTCTTTCCAAATATACAAGACTAGTTTTCTATTCATTTGTTGTTCATTCTGCATTGGTTCCCCAAAAGTGAACCACATTGCTATTCCTATAGGGATAGGACATTGCAACTCCCTCTTTCCACTTAGTAATTTTTTTCCTGGAGAAGGATGACAGTGTCTACGAGGGAGGCCTGTTTGTTGTGGCATGTGGCATAACAGGGAGAAGGTCCATAAAGGGAGGAGTGATGGAAGGTGTGGTTAAGAAGGGATAAGGGGAAATGAGGACAGAATTAATGAGCATGTTAGGAACAAGAAGATGTCGGGAAACTCTGTGTATTTGACTTTCTGAAGTTCACAGTTTCAACACATGCGTTTGGCTTGGTTTAACTACATGGAGCTTTGATAATGCTCTTTTCCTAAGGGAAACACTGACACTTCAGGCTTGCAGAGACAAGCACAGTCTAGCTCAAGCTTGTCCAACCCACAGCCCACTGGCCACATGTGGCCCAGGATGCCTTTGCAGCCCAATGCAAATTTGTAAACTTTCTTAAAACATGAGATTTTTTTTTGCAATTTTTTTAGCTCATCAGCTACTGTTAGTGTTAGTGTATTCTGTGTGGAGCCCAAGACATTTCTTCTTCCAATGTGGCCCAGGGAAGCCAGAAGTTGGACACTCCTGCTCCAGCTGAATGCTTTTTGCAGGATCTTTTTTTTTTAAATGTCCAAAGGAAATAAAATAAAAAGCCCAGAATATTTTGTAAGACAAAAAATATATTACTGTAGTTGGAAGCCATGACCTAGGAAGGGGTGGGGGTCATGAGCAGGGCACCGGCTAGGGATCTGGTCACAGTAGCAAAGGTCTATCACTTGGCATGGGAGGTTTGGATAGGCAGAGAAGAAAGTCTCTCTATAAGGATGAGGTAGTCTTTTTACCCTTCAACACTTTTTAAATCACCTTACAGGAGGGAAGAATTTGAATTATGCATTGGAAAGTTGCATTCTTTAATATGGTCTCCTCATTTCTATGAATTGAGATGTTTTCTATGATTCTCCTTATTCTGTAGCAATAGAGGAAATCACTCCCTTATCTGTACTGCATCTTTGTAGCATTTGTGCATAGATCTGTTATCACAATTACCACCCTATTTGATTACTTATCTATCTTCTGTATTAAATGATTCTTGGAAGGACAGGGAGCATGCCACATTCTTCTCACTTGCTCGGTGCCCAGCATGGTGCCAAGTATTTAACAAGAACTAAAATAATGTTTTTGGACTTAATTGAAGGTGGCCACAGTGGGAGTGGGGAGAGATATGAAAGGTATAAAATCTACCTTGTTTTCAGAATCAGAAGGAAATTAAGGACGAGTTATTGGAATCATTAAGCTTCATTTTCCACCTGCAGCCACAAATCTGTTAACTACAGTTAAATTTGCACAGACATGCAAACATTAACCACATACCCTTCCTCCATTATAGCTCAGGCTGAAAACCAAGGCTCTATCATAGTTCACAGCCTGACCAAGCCAATCTGAGTTTGTACCAGCCACCAGCTGCTCCTCGTCCTTGTCAGACAGAAAAATAGATACATGACCTATAGCTGTCACAAATTACAGTGCTCATGCTACCCAGAATAGTACAAGCTGTTCTTTCTTTTCTCAACAGTCAATCAACCTAGATGTAGAAAACCCATTAGGGCATCTTTGCTGTGCTTTCCCCTGCCTCCTTCATCCTCTCATTGCATCCCCGCATGAAGAGCTCTAGGCTGAACTATTTCTTTTGCTAAGTTAATTAAGGCAGGGGACAGCCACTGCTGCTGGTGGGAGGCAGTTACACACATGAGCAGACTTTATCATTAATGTCTTCCCCTTAAACTGTTTCATACTCAATTTTCCTGGCTCAGTTTCATTTATTACTCATAATTAGAGCCAGCTCCTACTTACTCAATTCAGCAGGTACTTTTGAAGCGTTTATGGTGAGAGTAAGGCTGTGTCTGTAACCACTGGCAAGCAAAAGACACATGTAAACATCTTCTTTGCTTGATTTTCAGCATGCTCACTCCTGACACATACAAGCAGGGCAGCTCAAAACCGTGGCAGGATGGGTAGCTGGGGAATGTGCACATCACTTTGTTGCTGTTGGGGGTATTTAAGCAGGGGCTGCACTCGCACATTCAACCACTGTTTATTAAGTGCTTCCTGTGGACAGAAGTCCTTGTGTTGTCCACTGTTTAATAGGTCCAGCAAGGTGGCTGGATGAGAATTTAGGATGATGGTGGTGGTGGTGGTGGTTTGGGGACGGGGTTAGAAATCACTCTATGGCAGTTTAAACTCTGATTCTTCTGGTAGGGCTGGGCAAAGCTGCTTCTTCACAGACTAATCCTCTCTTCCTAAAAAAGAAAATTAAAGTTATTCAAAGCCAGACAGCAGGGACTATTGTGTGTCCTCCCAGGTCTCATTTAGTCATTGAAAAAACATTTTCTAGTGAGTTCAAAAAAATTACTTAAAGCCGGTTTCAAAGATACTAAGTTACCTGTATCCATAAAGCTCAGCTCCCTGTTTGCTTATAGGAAAATTTTTTTACTGATCTAAATTTTGTGGAAAGAAGATGCAGGAGCATTATGACCTGAGAAGTTTGGGACCTCTCGCCTGGACCTTTTCCTTTAGGCAAGAAAGGTGAGCCCCTTGGGCTTGCATGATTACATCTACAGGAAGGGACAATGGCACCCTCTGCTGGCTTACCTAGGTCAAGATGCTTTTTGCTTCTATCCTTCATTGGCAAATTGAAAGACAAATTGTTCTTTACCTACCTTCACTGCTGATAGACAGGAGCAACTTGACCTGACTTTGAAAATTACTTCAACACTCTTCCTCTTGAGAGAGCCTCTTCTTTTGCAATTACTCTACATGCTTGCATACATAAAGTACTGGCCTTGGTCTTAAAAGCGCTGGGTTTAGAATCCTGGTCTTCAGCAAGAACAATGATTGCTACTTCTCTTCTCTAAGATGCAAGATGGGGACTACTGTGAAAATTAAATTAGCAAATGTGTTAAGATAGAACATGACGTGCACCCAGAGAAAAATAAGATATATTAAAGAAGCATTGTTTAAGCATTCATCTACTTTTTTTTCACTATGAAGTACAATTTTAATAGTCAGATGGGATCCATATATATGAAAAAAGGGGTACAGTGATTATTATCAAATCTTTTTGTCTTCTCCACAAGGTACTGAGTCAAATGCTCTGCAAGGAAAAATAAAGAAATGCTATACATTTATCAGAACCTTCTGTATCCATCTTTGATCAGTTGCAGTGCTTATGCTCCAAGGTTTTCTTGCTAAAGAGCTAGTGTTTGTTTTAACCTATGTGATGAGGAAATATAAGAGAATTCAGAATAAACCAGCAACAAAACCGAGAGTCTCACCAGAACAGACCACTCTTTGTATGCTAGCTTTATGTTTTTGTGTCTTTGTAACCAAAAAAAAAAAAAAAAAATCAGTCTTTTTGTGTGTGTGAACTCTGGACATGGCAGTGCAAAATGGGCTCTCTCTCCATGACCTGAGCTTCTGTAGCCCTCTGCCCGTCGCAGCTCCTCTGAGTGACTGGCTTTCCTAGTGAGCTGTGATAGTGTGTGGAGTGAGTTGTTTTTCTTCTCAGAGTGGGAAATAAGTCCTTCCATTTTTGCAATGCTATAACATACGGATGCAACACCATTAAATGTGTGTAAATCATCCTCCATCCACAAACGTCAAACACAGTCAGGCGAATTAAGGCATTTTAACTCCAATACCTACTTCTTGCACTTTACTGTTATTTCCAAAAAGTTCTTACTTAAATCTTGATTCTACCACATATTAGCTATCTAACTTTGAGCCAGTTATTTGATCTGACTGAACTTGAATGTTGTCATCTCTGATAGAACAATATCTACACATAGGGTTGTCATATTCAATGAGATGAAGTAGATTGAAGACCTAGCACAGAATCTGCCATTTATGTCTGTTTAATAGATGACAGTTGTCATTGATTAATATTACTAAATCTTCTACAAGAATTAGGACTTTTACATAGTAAAAATTAAAAATAATGTTATTTATTAAAAATCTATTTTTAGATATATTTATGTTATATTTGAATATATTTATTTGCAAAACTCAAATATTGCAGCATCTCACTCACTGCTGGGGGAGATGACATGAAGGAATGACTTGTGTATGGCCCATGTGCAAGTCAAGGCCATAATTGCATTGGCTCTATGAATGGTCTTCAGGGCCCCATCTCCAATGCCATAGTTATGAGCAGGGTTATTAGAGGCTACCAGTTACTCATAAAACCAGTCTGTGTCACAGTGCTCCAGGCCTCCTGGCAGGCTGCTCCAGAGCTGGAGCACAAGCTGCTCCCTGCTGGCTGCTCCTTGCCTTGGAGACGGCCAACTGGCTAGCTATATGCATAAGCCTGAAACTGGACCCCTTCCTTACACCATACATGAAAATCAATTCAAGATGCATTAAAGACTTAAATGTAAAACCCAAAACTATAAAAAACCCAGGAAGACAACCTAGGCAATACCATTCTGGGTGTAGGCATGGGCAAAGATTTCATGATGAACATGCCAAAAGCAATTGCAACGAAAGCAAAAATTGATAAATGGGATCTAATTAAGCTAAAGAACTTCAGCACAGCAAAATAAACTATCAACAGAGTAAACAGACAACCTACAGAATGGGAGAAAACTTTTGCAAACTGTGCATCTGACAAAGGTCTAATATCCAGCATTTATAAGGAACTTAAGTTTACAAGAAAAAAACAACCCCACTAAAACGTGGGCAAAGGACATAAACAGGAACCCTCTCAAAGGAAGACATGCATGTGGCCAACAAACATATGAAAAAAAGCTCAATGTTACTGATTAGTAGGGAAATGCAAATCAAAACCACAATGAGATGCCATCTCACACCAGTCAGAATGGCTAATTATTAAAAAGTCAAAAAAATAACAGATGCTGGTGAGGTTGTGGAGAAAAAGGAACACTTACCTTCTGTTGGTGGGAGTATAAATTAGTTCGACCATTGTGGAAGACAATGTGGCCATTTATAAAAGACCTAAAGACAGAAAAACCATTTGACCCTGCAATCCCATTATTGGATATATACCCAAAGGAATATAAATTTTTCTGTTATAAAGACACATGCACACATATGTTCATTGCAGCTGTATTCACAATAGCAAAGACATAGAATCAACCCAAATGCCAGTCAATGATAGACTGGATAAAGAAAATGTGGTACATATACACCATGGAATACTATGCAGCCATAAAAAAGAAAGAGAATGTCTTTTGCAGGGACATAGATGGAGCTGGAAGCCATTATCCTTAGCAACTAATGCAGAAAACAACACACCAAATACCGCATGTTCTCACTTATAAGTGGGAGCTAAGTGATGGAACACAGGGACATATAGAGGGGAGCCGATTTGAGGGTGGAGGGTGGGAGGAGGGAGAGGGTCAGTAAAAATAATTAATGGATACTAGGCTTAATACCTGGGTGATGAAATAATCCATACAACAACCTCCATGACCCAACTTTACCTATGTAACAAACCAACACATGTACCCTTGAACTTAATAAAAGTTAAAAAAAAAAATTTCACGCATCACCCCTTCTCCACCACAGAGTAGTGCTAGAGAGTGAAGTGGGCACTATGGCTTAAACTGGCTGTGGCCTGATTCAGTCACAAACCACAGTTGGTTTGCGCTGAAACGCCGGCTCAGGTTAGTCAATTTCAAAAAGAAAAATGAAGAGATTTTAGAAACTCCTTTTTGAAATCAGTGTTCATTTGGGCCTATAATTTCCTGAGGCAAGCCCTATGCTAATTTTATTGCCGTTTCTTTACATAAATAGGTGGGAGGATGAAGGAGTGGAAGCTTCCAGGGAAACACCAGGTAGCCTGGTACACTGTCAACACTGGCTTCTAATAGGTATTTAGAAAACCCTGAGGTTAGCATCAGTTTTTCTAGGCGCAAAAGAGCCCACGTGAAGGAAATTATGGGGAAAGAGTGGGAGAAAGGAGGAGGCGAGAGATTCAGCTACAAGCTAGCAGGAAGGAGGAAGGCTTGTGGGGAGGGTAGGCTGGTGTTGGAGATAGTGTCAACTGGATAGTGTGTTCCAGTTCAGCTCCGGCCATTTGTCAGAGTGAAAGTCTGCACGGCATGTCACAATGTGGGTTTTGACCCGACCCAGCCGGTTCTGATGCTCCCAATATCACAAGAAACTGCCGTTCAGGAGATGATGGCAAAGTGAGATGAAGAAAGGAAGGTCTTAGCTCTAGAAGTGAGGGTAGGAACAGGCCCCGCAGACAGCCAGCCAGAGAACAATGCTGCTTTCGCTGTCTTCAAAATCCTGCTCGGTCTTCCTTTTCCACTCAGCGTAAAAGCCACAGTCTCCCTGTGGCTCTCATGGCCGTCCATGCTCTGGCCCTTCTTGTGGCCTCTCTGACCTCATCTCCTCCTGCTGTCCCCCTCCTTCCCTCCAACGCCCCTCTCCTCCTCGCTGTTCCACAACCCCCACCAAGACATGCCCATGCATCCGAGTCTTTGTACTCAGGTTCACCCAGCCTAGAATGTTCTTCCTACGTATCTGCTTGTTCCCTCCTCTAGCTCCTTTAGATCTTTTATCGGGTGGCCTTTCCTGACCACCCGATTTAAAACCGCAACTCCTTTACCTCTAATTATTTTGCTTATAGTCTGTCTTTGCCTTCCTGAATACAAATTCCATGGGGAGGCAGAGGTTTTCCCTGTTGTCTTCATCACTCAGAACAGCTGCTGCACATGTTAGGCACTCAGAGCGTATTTGTTTTTCAACAAATGAATCTTGGACTTGCAATTCTCAGTACCACATCTCTGATGGGGCACACATGCTCCAGGAAGTCTTCAGTCCTGAGCACATGGGGCTCTCACAGAAGTATCAAGGAAGGGGCTCCAGTCCATTGGGGACTAGGAATGCTTCAGGAGTGTTTAAGATTCAGCAATAGACCCCTGGCAGTTTACGGGATCGTAACCCAGCCGACTTTGAGGAATAGGCATAAGACTAGGGCACCAATGACTAAGCCCCTACCATCAAGACCATGGAAGTGTCAGAAAATAAAGCCCAGTTGAAGCCGTGTCCCCACCAGGGACAGCAGCCACATATAGAAGAAAAGACCAGTGTGAAGTTTGGAGGCAAAATTTAGCACCTAGATTAACCAAGAGTTATAGACAAGAACAGGTGTGTTTGTCTTGTCGTGGCTTTGGGCCAGAGCTCCCTATTTCCCACTCTGCTATCCATCTGCCCCCCATTTCCCCAAGACTGGTCTGCTATCTGCCTGCCCCCCATCTCCCCAAGACTGGTCTGTTCATGTCTCAGCTTTGTCTTTAATAGCCCAGATGCATAACCGAAGGCTTGTCCTGGGATTATTTTACAGCACAAATCTCATCTCAAAATTGAGTTGGGCCTCTAGGGCAGACCTGATGCAGATGTATAAGGCAAGGTATTAGCCCAGTTCCTGACAGGGATGCTCAATTTTAAGACCCTCAAAGAAAAAGCACTTCATATACATTTTCTTGTTTAACCATCACTCAATCTCATCAAATAGGTTATTCTTAAACAGCTGAGGACAGTGGGTCTCAGAAAGGCTCAACATTTGCCCAAGTTCATCTGGGAGGTGATAAGTGGCAGCTGGTAGGTTTTGCTCCAGCTATGACTCTGGAGCTGTGTCCATTTCCTTGAACCACTTTGCCACATGACATCAGCAGCAGTGGCAGGGGGTGGGTGCTTCCCGCCTACTTCTTCAGAGGCCTTGTCACCAGCCTGCCTGAACTGTGTCAGTGTGACCTCTCAATCTGGAATACTGTGTATTTTGGCCAGCAGTCAGCTGTACAGGAAACAAAGAGAACCCAAGTCAAGCCAGGTTGGTGTGTTCTTTCTGGCAGTCTGTAAGGAGATCCCTGTGCCAGCCAGCCAGAGATAGCTCCCCTATCACTGGAGATCATGTCCCACACTAAGTCTCAAAGCTGACTAAGCCTGGAGAAGGCTACTGAGACATCTATGTCACAACATTCAGCCAGAAAGTCTTGAAATGGTCCCTTGGGAGTTTTTCTCTACCTAAGGCCTATTCCACCTTTTCTCTTCCAGGCTGTGGCTACCAGCCCCTCTGGGGTTGCAAGTCGCACCAAACAAAGGATTCATTCAACAAATGTATTCATTCAGTAAATATTTTTGAGTACCCAATATGCGCTAGAATGCCTGAAAGTGACTGTGAACTAATTCCTTGGGTTATGAATCTCTAAAGTTTGTGCAGGGTCATTTTTTTGTGGCAGTAGGAATGTGAGTACTGTGAACAAGGCCAGCTAAGGGAAAATTAGTCATTCATGCTGCTGGCTGCCTATTCTCGAGGCTGCCCTTGGCCCTTACATTTCCCATAGCTATCGAATACATTCCTGCTGCCCCTCAGGCCAAGGATACTGCTATGGTATTCTCAGTTACAACACAGCCTAACAAAATGACCCCATATTCTGGATATTTTCTTAGACCCTCATTGAAAGTTATTGATTCTGGGTCTCATTCTTTAGAGGTCCTGATAAATTCTGTCAGGTTAATATTAATAACTGTTTCATGTATAACCCTCATTAAAATTTCATTTCAAAGAAGCATATTATAACTTCACTTAAAGGAAGGACAACTAGTGGGCAATTTGAAGGGCCTAGCTGCCTCATAAGATGGGGAGGTGGGCCTGGGATATCTCTGTAACCAAATGATGTAATTTAGTTTAATGGAGTCAGCAGCCACCTATAAAAGCAGCCATGTCCCCAGCGGACAAAGATGTCACCTGGTTTAACCCCATGTAACCCAAAAATTCCTTGATTTCAAGAGGATACAATGCATTTCCTCTACAGACTCAAAAAAAAAAAAAAAAAAAAAAAAAAAAAACCATACAATTTCTCAAAATCTCAAAGTTCCAAAAGAAAATTCCAAAATTACAAAGTACCAAAAAATTTGCCACCAAACAACGTTTTAGAATTCTGATGCAATCTGTGACTACAAGGAATACTGTTCCTGGTGCTGTGCATTGGGTGTGGAGTGGATGCTGTTAGCATTCCTCCAAGATCCCTTTTCAGTGTGTCCGTCCATGAAGACTGTGTGGTTTTGCTTCTAAATACCTGCACCTGCTGCTTTCTCTGGAAGCCTACACTTGGGCTACCGGAGCCTTTGCTGAAAGTGCCTGAGAGTATACGTCCTCCTGAGGCAGCCCTTAGCCAATGACTGGTAGAAAATGGAAAATGAAAGTCCAGCTCAGAGAATTCCTGTGCAGGATCTGTTTGAAGTTACCCTTAGCAGGATTTTGCCTGAATTGCACAATTGCTTGGTTTTCTCCTTCCTTGTCCTGCCTTCCCTACCACTTTCAGTTTTTTCTTGGGAGCGTTTCTTCGTGAATTGATTGCACGTGAATCTTGTTCTAGGGTCTCCTTCTGACATCGTTGTCCCAAGGAATGGAAGTAACAATGCTTCAGTCTCAGTGCAGGCTTCCCCAAAATGTATGCTACTTCCAAACAGAAGCATCTTTGACCTGAAATTCCAGCCCACCCACCCCCTTCCAAATACATACCTAGATGCTTCTCCTGGGGGCTTTCACAGCATTTAATAGGCTGTATGTCTGGCTCAGAACTCTTTGAGAGCATAAACTGTTTTAGTTATTATTTGAATTTTAAGTGAAATGATTTGTGATCCCAAAATTATTTGTGAAATGACTGTGAACCAGTCTCAATCAATTTAGAAAGTTTATTTTACTAAGGTTGAGGACATGCCCATGACACAGTCTCAGGAGGTCCTGACCACATGTGCCCAAGGTGGTTATGTTACAGCAGGTAGTCACACAGACATGAGCAGGGCAGGTGAAGGTCCCCCTCAACCAGGAATGTCAGGCAACCATCAGGTGCTGGGCAGTTATTAAACTGTCTCTAAAATAATTGGTTGCAGCCAGCACCAGGGAAAGGCAGTCTTCCTATAAACAGAAACACCTGAAACTGGTAATCAGCAGCTTCCTGACAAGATCTCAGGAGTTGGGGGAATGGGCTCAAGCATGCACATTAAGAGGCAAAAACATACGGAATTTAACTGGTGTCTCACCTTCTAGGGACATTTGACTGGTAAGGGAAGAACGCCTCAAGTGAGCATGCATACACCTCCAGTAAACACACTGCACATGTGTTCCCTCCCAAGTGCTAGCAGGCTGCTGTGCATGTGGACAGCCCACCCCAAGGGAAGAATCAGGGCAGAAATAACACAAGATCCTGTAAGCATGCCAATGAGTCGGAAGGCGGAATTGTGCCCTTGATCTCTCAAGTCGCCCACTTGGCCCTCTTCCAAGTAAGTGTACTTTACTTCCTTTCATTTCTGTGCTAAAGCTTTTTGATAAGCTTTCACTCCTGCTCTAAAACTTGCCTTGGTCTCTCACTCTGCTTTATGTCCCCTTGGTCGAATTCTTTCTTCTGAAGTAGCAAGAATTGAGGTTACTGCAGATTCCTAAGGATTCACCACCGCTAACAGTCAGGACACAGCTTGGTTTTGCCAATTTTAGGGACACATGAGACATCAATCAATACATGTAAGATGTATATTGGTTCTGTTCGGAAAGGCAGGACAACTCGAATCAGGAGCTTCCAGGTCATCCGTAGATGTAAACATTTTTCTGATTGACAGTTGGTTATTATCAATAGAAAGGAATGTCTGGGTTATAAGAGGTTGTGGAAACCAAGGTTTTATGTAGATGAAGCCTCCAGGTAGCAGGCTTCAGAGAGAATCGATTGTGAATATTTCTTATCAGATTTAAAGAGTCTGTTCTACCAGTAATTCCAAAAGAGAGGAGGGTAATAAAGCGTGTCTAGCTCCTCCTTCCCATCCTGGTCTTAATGAGTTTTTCAGGATAACTTTGGAATATCCTTGGCTGAGAGGAGGGGCCCATTCAGATGGCTGGGTGGAGCTTAGAATTTATTTTTGGTTTACAGATTGAATAAATCACATGTTGCTGGGCAGCCACAAAGTCCCAGGAGCCCTTCCAAGCATGGAGATGCATAAAAGTCATTGGATGAAAATGGCATTAGATACTTCTCTTGCAAAACACAAGTCAAGACACATGGAGTACTGCATTATTTTGATTTTCTGATAATGCATTTCTTATGGATATTTTTGCAATTCTCATGAAATACTGGAAAATACTAGAAGGCTAACAGGCCTGGTGCCTGCTTCAAGAGGAAGGAATTGGGAATGATTTAGATTATCTCACTGGATGCAGTCAGGAGCAGATAGGTTACAATTAATGTCTAGAGTATAACACTAAGAATAAATGAATTGCTGGAAAAGTTATGTCCTCATAATGTCAGCCTCAGGCCAGACTTCTTATTGGAAAAAGTTTATTTTAAAAAATAACTGCTGATCCTGTGACATATTAAATGCCTTTTACCAACCACAATATTGGAGGACTTCTGGCTTGTCCTAATTGATAGCAATTCAAAGGCTATAAGGGGCCATAACTGTTCCTCACACAGGTTTTCTTTATAAACCCTCCCTGGGCTCTTAAATCATTAGTGAGATGTCATTGGTTTAGGAGAGAGACACCTACCCTAAGTTCAAACCTAAATGTTTTGGGGATTTGCAAGAAAAAGTAATTAGGTCTCAGAGTGGACAGCATCAGGCAGAAGTGATCAAACTGAGACAGGCTCTTTGTGTCCTGCTTCTTAGTGAGGCTAAATGTCAAAAGAACTAATGACACAAGCTATGGGTTAATTATATCCTATTAGTAGGTCATGAAAGACAACTGGATCATGGCTCTGAAGCAGCCTGATAGGCTAGACCTGTAAATGGAATAGCAGAAAAAGCTGGCATGTGATTCATTTATTGTTTACTTCTACTTCAGCCAAAAGATGGCTTTCTTATTAAACAAAAGTATGAGTGAATGAGTCAAAAGTCATCACCCTGCAAAAGGGAGATGCAAATCACTCAGGAGCCACCCAATGACTGGACAATGTCAAGGTTTTCTTACATAGATTTGGTATGCCCTCTAAAAAATGAGATGAAGCCACAAGCTGTGGCAGGTAAATTAACCCAAAACAAATTAGTCCAGGTTTCATTCTCAAGGGCTGTATAGCTATCTAGGATGAATAAATTAAGATGGGCCTCATGGAAGTAGCTTGTATTAATTAGGTCTTTTGCTTATAAATAGACTACTTGTATTCTGTTTCTAGTACTGCTACTGGCAATAGCACCCAGAGCACTGCAATGAATTTCATAGGTTTCAAATAAAAGTTTTGTGAGCTGGACCTAATATGGGAGTTGCCCTAAGCCATCTTATGAATGATACTGTTATAAAATGATACAAATATCATGCTCACAAGTAATAAAAATGCTTTGAATTTTTCCCACATATTGCTCAAATGTGACTCATCTTTTTCAAAAATGGCAAATATGTGGCATGAGGGCCAACTTCCCATGTCCATGGCAAGCATTATTCAATGTCTCTATGTCATTCTTTCCTACCAATTCTGACTGGGCCTCAGAATCCTTCCTAGCACAATGCCCTAGACGTAATGTACCAAGTGATCAGAGAAACATGAGTTAGAACCTAAATTTCAATAGATTTGTGAGGTTTAAGTGAGAGTTGTTTAAGACGGAGTGGAAAAAGAAATTTTGGAGCCACATGCTTTCTCTATGATTGCTAGTATTAACTGAATGCTTATCATCAGCCTAAAATGTATTAACTCATTTAATCCTCACAAAAACTCAATGTAGGAGATATTAGTGTTTTGTTTTTCACCTGTAGAATTGGGATAATGAGGTCCAAAGAGGTTAAGAAACTTGGTGAAGAGTATACAGCTATTGTCAGAGCTGGGATTACCCAATACTTCTGGCTGCAGATGCTATACTCT
The DNA here is from genome assembly GCF_000001405.40 of Homo sapiens. Taxonomy (NCBI): domain Eukaryota; kingdom Metazoa; phylum Chordata; class Mammalia; order Primates; family Hominidae; genus Homo; species Homo sapiens. The sequence goes on from NC_000011.10 coordinate 101,446,952, forward strand.
GAACCATTGGGATGAAAAGAATTCAAAGAGATAAATAATACAGAGAGACTAGAAAGGGAGTAAAATCATTGAAATGAAGAAAAAAATGTAAAAGGATATGTGGGAAAAGAAAAAGATCCATATTTATAATTTTTGATAGAATTATAGATAGCTGTGTTTTGAAAAATGTCTTTGAGCATATATACAATTACATATATATGTGTTCTTTAGCTATTGATTGTATATCATGGCAGACTCTCTCTTTATATATATGTGTGTGTGTGTGTGTGTATGTATACATTTTTCTCAATGTTAACAAACAGTAGCAACAACAGGATATGTTAACATTTTCCAGAATATAAGAAGACACTTTACAATTTGACCTTTTCCAATCATTCTGGTGAAAGTCCATTTTCTGAAGAAGAGTGAAGGGTAAATGTCACACAGCTGAATCACAGACTACTAAAAAGGTTAAAGCAAACGCAGAGCATTGCCACAGTTCTTTTAGCCTGAGACATGATAATAAGTAAACTTACTTTATTTTGAAAAAATTCTTCCTATGGTGGTATAACAGTATCTTTTCATAGACAATAATTAGGACAAAAATGCAGGGACGTGAAATTCCAGACTCACTTCCTGAATGTCAGCATCAAGGTTTTCTTTTATTATTTAGGAAAAAAAAGTGTGCTTTCTATGCATTTGCCAGAAGATATAGCTCTCTGTCAACTTTTGATACACTACTCCATCAGTTTATCACTGTGCAATGATGAAAGCCTTGTGACTTCCAGGGTGGACATTAGAAAAAGAAGAAAGGTTAAAAATTCATTTGATTCTCTACAAACCAGTTGTTATGATCTGAATACTCGTGTCCTCTCCGAGTTTACATGTGGAAATCCTAACCGCCAATGTGAGGGCATTTGAAGATGGGGCCTTTGGGAGGTGATTATGTCATGGGGCCAGAGCTCTCATGAATGGGATTAGTGCCCTTATGAAAGAGGCCCTAGAGGCCTCACTTGCCCCTTCCTTCATGGGAGACACAGAAAGTGGACACTATCAAAAACCAGAAAGTGGGCCCTCACCAGACACTGAATCTGCCAGCACCTTGATCTTGTATTTCTCAGCCTGCAGAAGAGTGAGAAATAAATTTCTGCTGTTTATAAGCTATCCAATACGGTATTTTATTTTAGCAGTGCAAATAGACTAGAATACCAATCTTTCTCCTGTTTTTTCTTCAGCGTTCCAGGTAACATTATACTTAGTTAGGAAGTGTTACAGTCGTTATGAATATATGATCTCCTTAGTAGATATAATTACCTTTACCATTGAATAAGGTGCCTTTTGATATGTAATTTTCATGAGATTTTGAAAAATATGAGCCACTATTTCTATGATCCACTTATATTGGATAAATTGATTATCCATCAAATGGCACTAATATTAAAAACAAAAAAAAGAAACGATCATACAGTTGGTCAGTGTCTCTAGCTATTTACACAGCTATACAAAAATCTCTAATTTAAAATGAAATATTTTTGATAGGTCTTATCATTAAATCCATCCCAGGAAAGTGTTTTTGAAAAGTGCTTCTGGAAACTTTTATAGCTGTAGTTATGAATACAGAGTAAGGAAGAAAATTCAAGCAATCATTCTAAGATTCATGAAAAGAAAAATGAATTTACTTTAATTACCCGGTCTTGTAGAGAGTCTCTGCTGTGTCGCTCACCTCAGCTAGCCACATATGGAAGTAAAGACTTGGACTAGCAGTCCATGTTTTGTATAACAACAGATAACAGCTGAAGTTTCAGTTTCCATCCATTTTAGGGTTCTGGGCTGCACTCCTGCACAACCTTGGATTAACTTGGAAACATGCGCTGTCTACATCAAAGGGTAGAGACTCTGAAGTGTAGGAATTCATATTCAGCACCATTCACCAGAGCTGCCAAGATGACTGGCATGACGCTCACAAACCTTGCTTGGCACACAGTGATGAAGGAGGGTTTCGGAGCCAAGAGGGAGATGATATTTATGTGTTCAAATCAGAACTGATGTGGGGCATGCTTAGAACGTGCCACCTGGAGAAACATCATCTGTGTCTGGGGCTCTTCCTTGGTCTGAAGCTGGTAATCGATCCTGACAGTGATTTCGTTAGGGGACTGGCTGGCAGGCAAATACTGACATATAGTCTCTCCATTTTAATTGAAAATTCAGTTTGTTTTCACTCTTCACATGACAATAAAATTCTTTCATACTGAAACAGTCCTGGAAGGGTGGGATAGACTGTCCAATTAAAGTGAAACCATTTGCTCCTGAGTCAATCCATTCTCCTCACTGACTCAACAGCCATTGAATTTACTATTTGCTCTCCAAAGAACTCCCTAAGTGTCCCACACTCATGGCCAGCTCTTGGTTTTGCTCATACTGTCCCTGCCAAGAAATATACATCTCAATCTTTTATTCTTTTTTATAACTATCACAGGGTTCAGGACATGCTACTTGAAAATATGGCACCCCAGCATATTGAATATTTTGAGCTGAAGGAATTCAAGAAACAGCAGAAGCAGGAAGGTTATTCTCACCTTCCCTTCACCCTTCTCTCCTGAAGCAGGTGAGAAATTCTTTCCCTAGAAAGAATTTTCTGATCTTCCACTGAAGCAGGTCATGAGACCCTCATTCCAGAAGTGTCCTTCCTATACATGGAGGACAGGAACCTCCTTATCTCTGAAGACATGGGGTCACAGAGAGAACACACACACACACACACACACACACACACACACACACACACACAGGCTTCACATCTCTTAAAGCCCCAGGCCTTATTGGCTTATTGACTGTAAATAGATTTCTGTACACTATATTTAATCACATCAGTGTTTTTTCAGATTCTCAACTTTACTCAGACCCTTAAAGGGAATGTTAGAGATAGACCATGAGTGATTAAAAGAATAAAAGACTCTTGTTACAGAACCAGATAGTAAGAGAAGAATCTGAATAGGCCTTGCTAAGTTCCCACCACTTCAGTACCATTACATAATACCCCCTTGTTCAATTCCACTCTTTGTCAAACTTAACATAAAAATACATAAGTTTAAGTGTTTGAGTCTTTCTGAAGGCTCACGTGTTACATAAAACACAGTAAATAAATTTGTAAACTTTTCTTTTGTTAACCTGTCTTTGGTTATAGAGGCCTCAGCCATGAACGTAGGATGAGTGAGAAAGAGATACTTCTCCTCCCCAATATCTACAATCCTTTTGAAACCAAATCCTCTCTTAACCCATAGCCTTCTTTGCCTAATGCTTATTTTTCCCTAGACTGGACATATAATGGGAGCTAGGGTGTTCAGGTACCACATATTCTTCCTCACCTAGAAACTTAAATATAAGCTACGCAATGAGACGACCACACTTCCATATGCCTCATCAAGACCTACAATAACTGTGAGGCAGGCATAGTGTTCATTTCTGGCTTTGACACTCCATGTGTAAGTCACCTAGCCTCTAACTCCTTCAGTTGTCTCCTTTCCAAAGTGAGAATAATGATAGAATTTACCTCACACAGTCATTGTAAGCATTAAGTTAGATTAAATTTGATAATTCATAGAAAATATTCAACATTTCTCATACTTGTATTAAGGCCCATTACCCCATTTGGTTGCAAGTACCTTGAGTTCAAACACTCATTTTCTTCTCCTTTCAATCCCTGGTAGTTTTAAGCAGACAGCAGATTCTGGTAATTTCTTTGATATGCCTCATAAAATCATATTGAGTTTGTGCTATTTCTCAGTTTCAAGTAATAAGAGCAGCAGAGAGGAAACCCAGGCATTGATGGACAAAAACAGGGACTTTTTTCTGTTCCTTGGTGGTCGATCTGTGGTGAGATGGTGAAGAGTGGGCAGGGCTCAGCCCTCAGGGAGCAGCTGTGTGGTCACAGTGAAAAGCAGCGCTGCTTCATCCTACTCACGGGTGCATGAACCTCCAGAAAGCATCCACTCAGAGGGGAGAAATAGGACAGGAGAGCAACTGGGATAAAAACGTTTCAACTTATCATCTTAGTTTCAAAGATGAAGCCGACTGCGACGTGAAGGTAGGATTTAAAGCCAGTGGTCTTGAGACTTTTCCCATGCTTATGACCATCTTTTGGCGATGTGCCTGTAATGAAGCTCTTATCAGAATTTTAAAAGCTTTCTTAAAATGCGTTTAATTTCCTTTTTCATCTTCCAACTTAGAAGAAATGCCAATTATTCTAAGTTGGAAGATGAAATTCGAAGAGATGTCAATTCAGTTGCACTTTGATGAAAATCTGACTTCAGGACATTAGTTTGAACCATAAGAGCCACCAGGAGGGTAGTGCCTTTTGCTGAGGAACCCACAGTCATGCCTGTTGAGTTTCCCAAAACTTATATCTTGTCAAGTCAATCCAACTTAAAAGACACTGAGGAATCTGAATATCTTTTCTTGAGTCTTCTGGAGTCAAGACCATGTGCTGTCATAGAGCATCCTTGGGATGAAGGTCCATCTCTCGCATGGCACAACACACACTTTTTTGTGGATGTTAGATTATTTTAATTTGCTGATAGTGCATTCAGTATGAGGTTGATTTTTTACAACTGCTGATTCAAATACTGTCACAAAATATTTGAAAATCGATCTTTATGTATCACCAAGTAACTTTTCCATAAGTAGTATCCACAAATACAAAATCACTGAATATAAATTTTCAGCTGTATTTTCTGATCTGGTTACATAAATGTTCTTTGATTTAAATTAAGCCAAAGTTGGAGCTAAACAGATTTTCTGCAACCATTTCATCTTTAAGATGAAGTTAAAGATTTGCATTTGAAATCTCCCATTATTGAATTGGAAGTAGCAGTTCCAGTTAATGTCCAGCATCCTCTGAATGCCAATGGTCTTTGAGTAAACATATGAACCTTCATCGCTTTTAGTTGTTTAAGACACCACTTCACATGATCAGTAAGTAACAACAACAACCTCTTGGTAAATGCACATGAATGCAAATTCCTGTTTTATATATTTGGGTAGAAGGATAGAACATATTGAAAATAACAGATAAGTATTTACAAATTCTCACCTTATTTTTCCCCTTTACATTCAATGGCTAAGTGTGGGGATTCATCTGTAAATGCTCCCAGAAATGGCACAAAATTGTGCTATAATGGAACCAAACAACCACAGTGTTTGTTTGGGGTTTTGATTTTTCTCCAATAAAAGGTACTTATTTAGACAGTAAAATTTTTTAGTGACAATAAAAATTTATAACATAAAGAGCTTTTGTGTGTCCACATTAGCCACAAACTAGGGCAAGTACTTTATGTCTGTGTGTACACATTTACACACACGCACACACACAAAACTGGACCATGTTTCCAGGGTTCAGTGGAGGAAAAACTTTTTTCATTGTTAAGTGTAATGTTTTCAAATAGATGAATCAGAAAATTTTACATAGATGTAAGACCATTTTGTATGAACGGTATCAATCATGTGCATTGAGGGATAAGTAGGGTAAATGGTGTTTAAACAGCATTCTAAAGAAAGGATTAAAGCATTCTAAAGGCCCATGGGCTACTTTTTCCCAAATTTCAGAGCTGGGAGTCCCCAGCAGGGGATCCACAGAGCAGGCAAGAAGGAACCTGAAATAAACTTCAGAGGAAAAACCGCATGGGGAGTAACGTGGGTCAGCCCCTGTCCGCTGGGACCCATTTTCAGGCAGACACTACATGGCAATGACATCATCACAAGAGTTAGTTATATCCAAGAAAGCAGTTTATAAAACAAGCACCAAACAACTGGGCATAATTTTCCTCATTATCTACAGCCTTTACCCTGAACAATGGAGTTTAATCACCAAAAAAATTAGATACTAGGGCTCCAGATGATAGGATGGCCCAAGTTATTTAACGTTTTCTTGTTTAAAAGGTGGGCCCATTGGCACTTAAGAAAATAAATCAGAAAATAATATGGCTTCAAGTGGACAAATAAATATGAATTTCTAAGGAAGTCTTCGCATTATCTATTGGTTTCCTCTTGATTTGGTTCCATGGATAATTTCTCTCCAAGTTCTCTAATAAGTTCTGCTAGGTCTTCTGTATTCTGAGATTTTTCTTCAAGGAGTTCATAGCGGAGACTTGAGATGTCCTGCTTAATTTCCTTCAGTTCCCCTTTGAAAGCAAGAGTGATAAGAAGTCAACTATAAATACGCAATGCGGAAAAACTAGTGACTGTGGGACAGGAGGAAATCAGCTCTAATTTCACACACAATTTTATTTTGAATCCTTTGAAAGGAAATAACTTCCTAATTGAGCAGGTTTTTGTTTTCTTAGCTAAGTGTTTTTGTGAATGAAGAGATTATAGCAGAATGATAACAAAAGCCCTCCTAAAGTAAGTTAAAACAAAAAGGTGGTGAATGATTCAGGGGTTGAGGCAGCAGCCCCTTCCTTGCCTTTCCCACCCACTTCCTCCTCCCTCCAAGTCCACCATAAGAATGAGAGCTTTTTATCTAGCAAGTGGCACCTGTCCCCGCCTGTGGAGACATAGCCTGTTCCCCACTCTTTAACAGAACGGCGGTTGGTGAGATCCTGTTCTACTTTTCCCCTTGAAGTTCACTCTCCCTGTACGCATCTCTGCAGCTCTCCAGGCACTCTGCGCTAGGCCCCCGTCCTGACTCACATTCAGGGGCTGATTTGCTTCTGCGTTCAACTCACCTTCGTTCACTTCATCACTCTCCTTATCTATCTGGGCCTGCAGTACATATCTTTTAATGAGCCTTTTCATTATTTTCTAGAAAACAGAGAAAGGAGAAATCTATGTCAGTTTCAGGTTCATGACAAATCTCTCATTTGGAACAAGTTTCAGAGTCTTCCTCCCTGTAGTGAGCCCTTTGGAAGTGATGGCTGTCAAGGACTAAGATGATTCAGCCAGGATGCAGGCGATCTCTACATTTTGCTTTCCTTTTTAAAGCAGTTTTCACATCACCTAGGCTAATGACTCAAAAGTGAGTTCTTAGAAAAGAATGTTTAGAGCAAGTATGAAATCCTTTATGTCCATTGCTTGTATTTTATTTGAAAAGTATTAGAGTAAGACAGTCTTTCAGTGGGGTAGGTAAAAGATGTACACTACTGCTCGTGGAAATGGGAAATTAAGCTAATGTCTGCTCATTTAAGCCCCACGTCTGACCCACCAAAAAATGGAACCAATTTTTATTTTAAACTTTCTATTAATTTAGGAATGCTAGTTTCAATGTAATATATTTTTCAAGTACCTGGGCTTCTATCATGCAAACATTGCTTTTATTATATATTTTTCATAAAAAGAAGGAGTCTTAGTGGGTGCTCAGAAAGTCTTGATGGATATAGAACTAAATAAAATTTTACACCTAAGCCAAGGTTAAATGGTAGATAGTAAAACTCTACCTTCAAGAATCTATTCTAAAGATATGATTTAGTACATTAACAAGTATGTTCATAGAACTAGTTATATAATAGACAAAAATGAAACTTTAAATGTTCATCAGTAAGGAATTATTTTTAGTAAATTATATATTTGTATGAAGGAATATGATACATTCACTGAAATTAATAGGAATATATATTTTGTGGAGAGAAAATCACAAGCTAAAAACTATTACTCATTATATAAGTATTAGCTGATTTATATAGTATTATATATGCATTTTATAATAATATTAAAATATATGTAAAATTATGCACATATAGGCATATAATCATCTGGCAGAATTTTCACCAAAAGCAAGCAGACTTTGTTTCTCACTGGTGGAATCTGACATGAATTTTACTGTCGTCTTTATGTTTTTTGTAAGGTTTGCCTTTTCAATGAACACTCTCTTTTTTAATGGAGACTTTCAGATCTGTGATTCCAATACTTTATTTTTTTTAACTTATATATCTCTGTCACTTACAAAATGCCTGGTACATGGTAATTAATAAATATTTATTGAATTAATGCATTATTTGATATTGAGAAAAATATCCTGATACTTTAAAGAATCACATAGTTCAAGAACCTAAATATTACAAGTAACTAGTTTTATTCCTTTAAAAATCCATGCTTACCTGATATTGTCTTGGAGGATTATTGAAACTATTTAGATGGAAATCTTCTGAGCTCCTTATACTTGGTTGTTTATTGTGCCCAACCTGTAATTTGAAAAGATTTAGAAATGGATTCCTACTTACATTTTCTTTTAAATAAAGTAGTGAGATTAGTTATCTAATGAACTAATAGTCTTACATACACAAATTATCTATATGTATAGTGCCATTTATCTTGCTTAGTATTCTGTCTTCCAAGACAAATCAGTGACATTTTAGGTGTGTTCAGTTTGTTAATGGCTGTTTGTTAGAGGTTGTCTGAGGAGTCTCTTAGACTTTGTGGCTGCCAATCACGTTGTCATGAGAATCACGCGTTAACCTTCTCACAGATGAATGCATGGTAGAGAAAGAGTCAAACAAATTGAGGAAATAATGGTGGTGATCTCAGAAGTCCATTGATGGGGGATCAACAGTGCCACCTGATTAACTAAGACATCCACACCTGAAGCAGGGTCTGATGTGGATCCTGCAGAAACACCAGGGTAAGACTGTGGTGGAGCAGAATTCAGTTTCAAAAAAAGCTCTAATTAATGTTTGAATTTTAGGTACTGTATACTATCCCATTTGGGCAGCACTTTTCAAATTAAAATACATTAACCCAAATAGGCAAATAACAAAAAATTAAAGCAATCTGCAATAAAGCATACCTTATTAACATGCTAAGAGGATGATTTAAAACCTCTTTAATGCATTTTCTGAATTAAAATCCTTGCATTCACTTCAGTGCTTTGCTTTGATACTTTAAATAGCCACATACTGAATTAAAACAGCTACTCAGACATTCATCTATATATTCAAGTATATATTGAGGGTCCTCAAAATGTAAGGTGCTGTGCTAGGCTCTGTGTATAAATGAACATAAGCAATTATGGTATAGCTGAGTTATGGTAACAGCTCAATTATGAAAAATATGGCAAGATTGATAAGATTAATAATAAACAATATATAAATTTGAAAATAGCATCATTTTTCATGTATCTATTATTTCCTTTTTCTTTTACTCACTCTAAAAATTTTAGTGTCCATATAATTTTACTTATACTGAATTTTAAAACCACTCTGATAAATTACATAATTCATCAAATTAACCAAAGAGAGGCAGTTTAGGTTCCCAAAACGAGCACTTGAAGGGAACCTCAAGGATAAATACCATCTGGCTTTGCCACAAGCTAGCCATGGAACAGAGGCAAGATGCTTCAACTTTCTATAACCTTGTCTGACAATGAAGGAAGTGGTCTACCTAGTTTCTATCATTCAAGCCCCACTAATTTATGAATTTGTGAAATGCATAAAAACTTCCACATAACATCTTAAATAATATAATGGGAACCCTGGCTTTGAAACTATGATTTATGCCTTAAGAACATCATAAAAGGTGAAGACCAGTGTGAAGCTCCCACTAAGCCCATTATGATAAAGCATGCAGGTAAGGGCAGGCTCATAACCATCATGTCTCTGATTTATTTACCATCTATTCATTAACTCACCATTGACATTTTGGGCTAGATAATTCTTTGGTGTAGGTGGTCTCCTGTGCATTATGGAATGCTTAGCAGCACCCCTGGCCTCTAATCTACAGACTAGATGCCAGTCACAGCTCCCACCACCCCCTATTGTGCCAACCAAACATATCTGTAGGTATTATCAAAGGCACCAGATTAGGAGTGGAGGGCACAATCACCCCTGGGTGAGAATCACTGGTATAGTTAAATGGCATAAAACTAAATATAAACTCACATGAAGCATTTTTATGGGTCTAGTTTTTTTCTAAGTATTAAATACCAAGTTTTGGATGCATATATAACATATTTTATTTTCAGAAAAAAATTCTAGTCAGTTTCTAATACATCATAGAAATTCAGTAAATATTTCATAAAAAACTTAATGATACAGAGAAGAGTAAACCTATCCAATGGTGCAAGGAAGTATTATTACCACTTGGTGGCAGAAAATCCTAATATATAATTGTTTCCATGTACAATTATTTAATGTCTGGAAATCCAAGTCTGCAACACGTTTGTACATAAAAGAAAATTCAATTTGAAAATTGAATAGTATTTAAAGCTTAGGGATTTGGGTATTTATAGATGGTGCCAACATGTATACTGTCATAGAGGTTGGAAGTGGGAAGCTTGTTGACTACAAGCAAGAAGGACTGGATGCAAGCTTTGTTCCTAATATGGAAATAAACACTCTCTCCAATTCTGAATGAACCACTGCCTGCCCCCTTTGTTAATACCTTCTACCACATTTTATGCATTCTTTATTCATTTTCTTTTTCATTTCCTAATAATTAGTTTGATATTAACATTTCTCATCTTGTAGGTTCATTTTAGGATTAGAGTGAGCAATACTAATAACTTGTTTCTAATTCGTTAAAAAGAACAAGTAATTTTAAGTCTTTAAAGTTTCTTATATTGCTGGATACAGGAACAGTTCATGGAGTCACCTATTTCCCACAAGCAGTAAATGTCCTGCAGCTGGGAACAGAGCAATGAACTGAAAAGGTATGGACAATATATTCAGTCAGCAGTGAATGCAGATATGAAATGAAGCTGTGTTATACAGTGCTTATAAACATATTGCTCTGAATCAAGTGGATGTTGGTTCAAATTCAGGCTCTGTCACTTGTTTGAAATGGGACTTGAGGCAAATCATTTCACCTCTATATCCTTGGGATCCTCAGATACAGAATAGGGAAAATAATATTACCTACCTTCCAGAGCTATTGCAAGAATTAAAGAGATGGGGTATAGAGAATATATAGTTTGAAATACACTGGACATTCTATAATTGTCAAGAGCTATTATTTTACAGAAAGATAAATATCTACTATGTGGCTTTAGGTCTATTTCATGGTTAACTTTAATCTACACATACCCCTTTACTTATGATGGGGTTACGTCATGATAAATCCATTGTAAGTAAGTTGAAAATGCACTTAATACACCTAACTACTGAACATCATAACTTAGCCTAGCTGACCTTAACCATACTCAGAACACTTTCCTTAGCTTACAGTTGGGCAAAAGCATCTAGCACAAAACCTATTTTATATTAAAGTTATTATACAAAATTTGAATCAACATTCAAACTTTGAAGTACAGTTTCTACTGAACACATATTGCTTTCACACCATCATAAAGGTGAAAAATCATGAAGTTGAACTCCGGTAAGTCTGGGACTGTCTGTAGTCAATTCATCCTAGAGATATTTTGCCAAATATTACTTTTTACTGATGTGCCCAAGTCCATGACTAAGTCCTTCAGGGAATGAAATAGTCAGTGATTCACGCATTCAGATGAGCATTATAACCTCCTAAGCTCTACCCTACATGGTTTAAAAACCTGCCCTAAGACGACAACTGGAATGTGATCTGTTCAGAAGGTGGAACAGGGCAGTTATTCAAGAAGTTATCTGGCATTTTGAGGTTTACACATGTAATAGACTATGGAAGAGATCAACTTTTAATTTATGCTATCCTTTCAGACTGTACATCTGAACAGCTAATGCTAGCAACCACCAAACTCAGTGACCTTTAGAGTTAAAGGATATGACTGAAGATAATGAATAGGTCTGCTTATTATCTGAAAAGCTAATGCTAGCAACCACCAGTCAGTGACCTTTAGAGTTAAAGGATACGGTCAGAGATAATGAATAAGTATGCTTACCTTGTTTCAAAATGTATTTTTATATATGGTTCATCCTACTGACATCTATGGTGCACCTGGAGCAGATGTGAAGGCAGTGTTTGTGCAGCTAACTAAATACTTTAAAATTCAAGAGGTCAGAGAGAGAAGACCTGAGTGAATCAGAAATTCACTTACCATCTTAGATATAGATGTTATGAAAAAGATTAAGCATAAGCCATATGAGTTGGGTAGGAAAGAATGAACCATGAGAGTTTTTCTTAGTATGCATACACTAGGGCCAAACCATCTCATTAGCAATGGGCAAAAATTATTTGAAATATAAATGATTGCCTTAAAAAATCTTCTCAGGAATACAGTTTAATGTATGTCGTAAAACCAAGCCATGTGAAATGTGTCTCAAGTTTTGTTCACCACAAGCTCATATGGCAGGGGAAAAGAGATACTTGTGTTGATTTAAGCCTCCAAGAATCAAATGCCAAGACTGAGTTGGAAGTATGAGATGTACCCAGGATTATACCTATGAGAGATAAAGGGAAGTGGAACGGGAGAAGGCGGAGAAATCCTCTCCACTGTGAGGCTCTGCTCACCTGTGAAAGGGGGAGAGGTAAGACGATTGTCTGGGAAAGTCAGTCAGCCCAACAGGGAACGGCACATCTCTGTAGCTGCCAGAAGACACACTTACACAAAAGGCTCTCTAGATTGTTAAACTGACAGTGGAATCAACATTTTATTCCAGACTTCACAACTGAGGTCAGACATCACAGGTTTAGTATTTCTAAAATACTAAACAGTTTGTTTTAAGCTATGATTAAAATATGTGTTATTGAAAAGTGTAACTCTCATTTACAATATATAATATACATTTTGCTGATGGTTAAATTTTAATTTTCCACATTTTTAGAGAAGCTACAGGGAAAATAAAATTATTTCATTTGATAGATACCATATTTTCTATCATAAAGAAAAGGCATTTTGATTTTATTTTAATTTTTCTCTTATCTGTCCAGTGACTTATTATACATCCTTCATGCTTTCAGGATGAGTATTTTCTTACTGGAAAAATATAAGAGCCAATTACACTGACCTATCTTTGCAAAAAATTTATTGAGATTTTTAAAACCAAATAACAACAAGAGCCATTTCTTTATAATATGAGTATATTACATTTGCGTAGTGTTTACGATTTTCAAAGTACCAATTTAATCTTTCCAATATGCTTGTGTGATGGGTTGTACAACTTGATTATTTCTGTTTTATAGATGAGGAAACTAAGGTTCAGAGAAGTTAAATGAATTGCTGAAGGGGCAGAGATGTACACTTATTATAAGATCTCAATCTTCTGAGTACTTAGTTCAATACTGTTACTCTATCAATTTCCAAAGTGCAGTTTTGATAAGGAAGGAAAAGCAGTGAATATAAAATATTGATCAAACATGGTGAATTTTATATCTTCATATTAATCCATTATATATGTTATACGTAGTCAACTGTATATTATATGAAGTCAGTACATGTACCCCTTGGTATCCATGGGGGATTGGTTCCAAGACCCTCCTTCTGAGCACACCAAAATCCACTGATGCCCAGACCCCTTATAAAAAATGGTGTACTATTTCCATATAACTTACTTACTCATAGCCACTGGTATAACTTAAATCATCTCTAGTACTTACAATGCTCGATATAATTTTATGTAACTGATAAATATTGTTATACTCTACTGTTTTTTAAATTTGTATTATTCTTATGATCATATTATTTTTGATGTTTTTATTTAATATTTTTGACCTGTAGTTGGTTGAATCTGTGAATGCAGAACATATGGACATGGAGGGTGGACTGTGTATGTGTGTGATATTTAATTGAAATGCCCTTTGCAAAACTGTAAAACAATTTTGTCATATCACACATTTTGTAGATCATAAATGGGAGTTAGGTGGAAAGGAAAAGAGCCATAACCATCTCCTTGGAATATTCAATTAAGAATCAGAAGTCTGCATTGTGAATGCACTTAATGCTCCTGAACTATATGCTTAAAAATGGTTAAAATGGTAAATTTTATGCTATATATATTTTATAACAATGAAAATAAATATAAAAAAGAAGTCAGTTGCCTGTATATGTCAACCCCAAGGGTTGCTATGAATATTTAGGTTTTGGAGAGGGACACTGTTATTCTTGAGACTAATAATTCATAACCTCTTATCCGTAAGAAAACATAATGGGCCATATTGTCAATTATAACACAACAATAACATTACTAGCTGAAATGTCACCCCTTTCTTTTTCCTTTAAGCATTTCAATATTTAAAATACATAGAGTGAAGTTAAACTGGTAAGATAGACTTAATTATATAGTGCTTGGTACACATGTTAAAAATGATTGGGACCACACAATATGTCACCAGGAATGACTGAATTCTTTTCTGAATATATCCACTAACTAGGGAAGGCTTTGAGAAATTAAATCATTTCACCTTACTCCAGTTTTCTTATGTGATATGTGCAGATAATTTACTTCACACAAACAAAAGAATTTACTAAAATGTCCTAGCAAATTATAAAATTGTTTGGGCCAGGCACGGTGGCTGATGCCTGTAATCCCAGCACTTTGGGAGGCTGAGGTAGGTGGATCACTTGAGTCCAGGAGTTTGAGTTCAACACTAGCCTGGGCAACATGGCGAAACCCCATCTCTACAGAAAATACTAAAAATTAGCCAGGCGTGGTGGTGCTCACCTGCACTCCCAGCTATTTGGGAGGTTGAGGTGGGAGGATCACCTGAGCCTGGGAGGTCCAGGCTGCAGCAAGCCATGATGGCACCAGTGCACTCCAGCCTGGGTGATAGAGACCCTGTCTCAAAAACTAAAATGAAATAAAAATAAAACGTTTTGAGTTGAATACCTTTTGGAGGTAAGCTATTTCATATTCTTTCAGTAACATTTTCCCCTTTATCTTTCTGTCTGTACACCTTTCCTTCTGTACATTCACGCATTCTTTCTTTCCACAGACATTTGCAGGTACCAAAACTATAGAAGTATTAAGGATCAGAGTTAAACTAAGACATGGGCTCTATCTTCCAGAACCCACACCTTCATCAGTTAGTTTGCCTCTTCCTGGTCTGGGAGATTGGTTAACACACCATGACCAACATGATTTCACCAAGGAAGAGGAATGGGAGGAAGAAACGGGCATGTGAGTAGCAAAATATACTTCCTACCATGTTCCTTGCTAGGTATGTTATTTCATTAATTTAATGACCCTTTGAGGCTGTAGTAATGACAAGTGAGGAAACTCACTTGGGGTCCAGTTTCAGTTTTCTGCGTATGGCTAGCCAGTTTTCCCATCACCATTAAATAGGGAATCCTTTCCCCATTGCTTGTTTTTGTCAGGTTTATCAAAGATCAGATGGTTGTAGATGTGTGGTGTTATTTCTGAGGCCTCTGTTCTGTTCCATTGGTCTATGTATCTGTTTTGGTACCAGTACCATGCTGTTTGGTTACTGTAGCCTTGTAGTATAGTTTGAAGTCAGGAGCGTGATGCCTCCAGCTTTGTTCTTTTTGCTTAGGATTGTCTAGGCTATGTGGACTCTCTTGGTTCCCTTTGAAGTTTAAAGTAGTTTTTTCCAATTCAGTGAAGAAAGTCAGTGGTAGCTTGACGAGGATAGCATTGAATCTGTAAATTACTTTGGGCAGTATGGCCATTTTCATGATATTGATTCTTCCTATCCATGAGCGTGGAACGATTTTCCATTTGTTTAAGTCGTCTCTTATTTCCTTGAGCAGTGGTTTGTAGTTCTCCTTGAAGAGGTCCTTCACATCCCTTGTAAGTTGCATTCCTAGGTATTTTATTCTCTTTGTAGCAATTGTGAATGGGAGTTCACTCATGATTTGGCTCTCTGTCTGTTATGGGTGTATAGGAATGCTTGTGATTTGTGCACATTGATTTTGTATCCTGAGACTTCGCTGAAGTTGCTTATCTGCTTATAAGGAGATTTTGGGTTGAGATGATGAGGCTTTCTAAATACACAATCATGTCATCTACAAACAGAGATAATTTGACTTCCTCTTTTCCTATTTGAATACCCTTTCTTTCTTTCTCTTGCCTGAATCCCCTTGCCAGAACTTCCAATACTACGTTAAATAGGAGTGGTGAGGGAGGACATCCTTCTCTTGTGCCGATTTTCAAAGGGAATGGTTCCAGTTTTTGCCCATTCAGTATGATATTGGCTGTGGGTTTGTCATGAATAGCTCTTATTATTTTAAGATACGTCCCATCAATACCTAGTTTATTGAGAGTTTTTAGCATGAAGCACTATTGAGTTTTGTTGAAGGCCTTTTCTGCATCTATTGAGATAATCATGTGGTTTTTGTCATTGGTTCTGTTTACGTGATGGATTACGTTTATCGATTTGCGTATGTTGAACCAGCCTTGCATCCCAGGGATGAAGCCGGCTTGATCATGGTGGATAAGCTTTTTGATGTGCTGCTGGATTCGGTTTGCCAGTATTTTATTGAGGATTTTCTCATCAATGTTCGTCAGGGATATTGGCCTGAAATTTTCTTTTTCTGTTGCGTCTCTGCTAGGTTTTTGTAACAGGATGATGCTGACCTCATAAAATGAGTTAGGGAGCATTCCCTCTTTTTCTATTGTTTGGAATAGTTTCAGAAGGAATGGTACCAGCTCCTCTTTGTACCTCTGGTAGAATCTGGCTATGAATCTATCTGGTCCTGGACTTTTTTTGGTTGGTACGCTATTATTACTGCCTCAATTCCAGAACTTGTTATTGGTCTATTCAGGGATTCAACTTCTTCCTGGTTTAGTCTTGAGAGGGTGTATGTGTCCAGGAATTTATCCATTTCTTCTAGATTTTCTAGCTTATTTGTGTAGAGGTGTTTATAGTATTCTCTGATGGCAGTTTGTATTTCTGTGGGATCAGTGGTGATATCCCCTATATCATTTTTTA
Source organism: Homo sapiens (assembly GCF_000001405.40). Taxonomy (NCBI): domain Eukaryota; kingdom Metazoa; phylum Chordata; class Mammalia; order Primates; family Hominidae; genus Homo; species Homo sapiens. Next base: position 101,463,674 of record NC_000011.10, read on the forward strand.
TTGCATCTATTTGATTCTTCTCTCTTTTCTTCTTTATTAGCCTGGCTAGTGGTCTATTTTGTTGATCCTTTCAAAAAACCAGCTCCTGCATTCACTGATTTTTTTGAAGGGTTTTTAGTGTCTCTAGCTCCTTCAGTTCTGCTCTGATCTTAGTTATTTCTTGTATTCTACTAGCTTTTGAATTTGTTTGCTCTTGTTTCTCTAGTTCTTCTAATTTTGATGTTAGGGTGTCAATTTTAGATCATTCCTGCCTTCTCTTGTGGGCATTTAGTGCTATAAATTTCCCTCTAAACACTGTTTTAAATGTTTCCCATAGATTCTAGTACCTTGTGTCTTTGTTCTCATTGGTTTCAAAGGACATCTTTATTTCTGCCTTCATTTCATTGTTTACCCAGTAGTCATTCAGGAGCAGGTTGTTCAGTTTCTATGTAGTTGTGCGGTTTTGAGTTAATTTCTTAATTTGACTGCACTGTGGTCTGAGAGACCATTTTTTATGATTTCTGTTCTTTTGCATTTGCTGAGGAGTGTTTTACTTCCAATTACGTGGTCAGTTTTAGAATAAGTGCAATGTGGTGCTGAGAAGAATGTATATTCTGTTGATTTGGGGTGGAGAGTTCTGTAGATGTCTATTAGGTCTGCTTGGTGCAGAGCTGAGTTGAAGTCCCTAATATCTTTAATTTTCTGTCTTGTTGATCTGTCTAATATTGAGATTGGGATGTTAGAGTCTCTCACTATTATTGTGTGGGAGTCTGAGTCTCTTTGTAGGCCTCTAAGAACTTGGTTTATGAATCTGGGTGCTCCTGTATTGAGTGCATGTATATTTAGGATAGTTAGGTCTCTTGTTGCATTGATCCCTTTACCATTATGTAATGCCCTTCATTGTCTTTTGTTCTTTGTTGGTTTAAAGTCTGCTTTATCAGAGACTAGGATTGCAACACCTGCTTTTTTTTTCTTGCTTTCCATTTGCTTGGTAAATATTCCTCCATCCCTTTATTTTGAGCCTATGTGTGTCTTTGCATGTGAGATGGGTCTCCTGAATACAGCATGCTGATGGGTCTTGACTCTTTAGCCAATATGCCAGTCTGTGTCTTTTAATTGGGGCATTTAGCCTGTTTACATTTAAGGTTAATATTGTTATACGTGAATTTGATCCTGTCATTATGATACTAGCTGGTTATTGTGCCTGTTAGTTGATGTAGTTTCTTCATAGTGTCGATGGTCTTTACAATTTGGTATGTTTTTGCAGCAGCTTGTACCGGTTTTTCCTTTCCATACTTAGTGCTTCCTTCAGGAACTCTTGTAAGGCAGGCCTGGTGGTGACAAAATCTCTCAGCATTTGCTTGTCTGTAAAGGATTTTATTTCTCCTTCACTTGTGAAGCTTAGTTTGGTTATGAAATTCTGGGTTGCAAATTATTTTCTTTAAGGATGTTGAATATTGGTCCCCACTCTCTTCTGGCTTGTAGGGTTTCTGCAGAGAGATCTGCTGTTAGTCTGATGGGCTTGCCTTTGTGGGTAACCCAATCTTTCTCTCTGGCTGCCCTTAAGTTTTTTCCTTCATTTCAACCTTGGTGAATCTGATGATTATGTGTCTTGGGGTTGCTCTTCTCAAGGAGTATCTTTGTGGTGGTCTTTGTATTTCCTGAATTTGAATGTTGGCCTGTCTTACTGGGTTGGGGAATTTCTCCTGGATAATATCCTGAAGAGTGTCTTCCTATTTGGTTCCATTCTCCCCGTCACCTTCTGGTACACTAATCTAATGTAGGTTTGGTCTTTCCACGTAGTCCCATATTTCTTGGAGGCTTTGTTCATTCCTTTTCATTCTTTTTTTTCTAATCTTGTTTTCATGTTTTATTTCAGTAAGTTGATCTTCAATCTCTGATATCCTTTCTTTGGCTTGTTCGATTTATCTGTTGATACTTGTGTATGCTTCACAAAGTTTTCGTGCTGTGTTTTTCAGCTCCATCAGGTCATATATGTTCTTCTTTAAACTGGTTATTCTAGTTAGAACTTTCTCTAACCTTTTTTCAAGGTTCTTAGTTTTTTCGCACCAGGTGAGAATATGTTCTTTTAGCTCAGAGGAGTTTGTTATTACCCACCTTCTGAAGCCTACTCCTGTCAATTTGTCAAACTCATTCTCCGTCTGGTTTTGTTCCCTTGGTGGTGGGGAGTTGTGATCCTTTGGAGGTGAAGAGGCATTCTGGTTTTTGGAATTTTCAGCCTTTTTGCACTGGTTTCTCACCATCTTGTTTCTCACCATCTTTGTGGATTTATCTACCTTTCGTCTTTGATGTTGGTGACCTCTGATGGGGTCTCTTGAGTGGACGTGCTATTCCTTTGTTAGTTTTCCTTCTAATCGTCAGGCCCCTCTGCTACAAGTCTGCTGGAGGTCCACTCCAGACCCTGTTTGCCTGGGTATCACCAGCAGAGGCTGCAGAACAGCAAAGATTGCTGCCTGTTCTTTCCTCTTGAATCTTCGTCCCAAAGGGGCACCTTCCAGGATACACAGGGGTCAGGGACCCACTTGAAGAGGCAGTCTGATCCTTAGCAGAGCTCAAACACTGTGCTGGTAGATCCGCTGCTCTTTTCAGAGCCGCCAGGCAGGGATGTTTAAGTCTGCTGAAGCTGTGCCCACAGCCGCCCCTTCCCCCAGGTGCTCTGTCCCAGGGAGATGAGGGTTTTATCTGTAAGTCCCTGACTGGGGCTACTGCCTTTCTTTCAGAGATCTGCTGCCCAGAGAGGAGAAATCTGGCAGTCTGGCCACAGTGGCCTTGCTGAGCTGCAGTGGGCTCTGCCCAGTTTGAACTTCCTGGCCGTTTTGTTTACACTGTGTGGGTAAAACTGCCTACTCAAGCCTCAGCAATAGTGGATGGCCCTGCCCCCACCAAGCTCAAGCATTCCAGGTTGATCTCAGACCACTGCTGTGCTGGCAGCGATAATTTCAAGCCAGGGGATCTTAGTTTGCTGGGCTCCGTGGGGGTGGGACCCACCGAGCCAGACCACTTGTCTCCCTGGCTTCAGCCCCCTTTCCAGGGGAGTGAATGGTTCTGTCTCACTGGTATTCCAGGCACCACTGGGGTATGGGGAAAAAACAAACAAACAAAAAAAACTCCTGCAGCTAGTTCAGTGTCTGCCCAAACAGCCGCCCAGTTTTGTGCTTGAAACCCAGGGCCCTGGTGGAGTAGGCACCAGAGGGAATCTCCTGGTCTGTGAGTTGCAAAGACCATGGGAAAAGCACAGTATCTGGGTCAGAATGCACGGTTCCTCAGGCTCAGTCCCTCATGGCTTCCCTTGGGTGGGGGAGAAATTCCCCAACCCCTTGCGATGCCCCACCCTGCTTCAGCTCGCCTTCTGTGGCCTGCACCCACTGTCCAGCCAGTCCCTATGAGATGAACTGGGTACCTCAGTTGGAAATGCAGAAATCACCTGCCTTCTGCGTCGATCTTGCTGGGAGCTGCAGACCAGAGCTGTTCCTATTCGGCCATCTTGCCAGCAATCCTGTTTTTGTTTCTTCCACTCACTACTTCATTTATTTCAAGTTATTTTTTTCTAGATATGCCCATTTATGATTTTTAACTGGACCCCTTCTTTATTTTTTGCATTCTTTTTATAGGGCTTTTAGGCCTAGTATTATTTCTCTGTCCTCACTGGATTAATATCACTACCAAATTATGTAGTATACTTACTCTTCCTGCTCTCTAGTAATAGCAATAAAAATAATAAATAGCTATTACATACCCACTATGTGCCAGGCCCTGTTGTCAGAACTTTATAGTATTAAGTAATTTAATATTCAAAAGAACATTTGGATGTTGGTGTGATTACTGCCTACATCCTGTGAACAAGTAAAGAGTCTTAATGAGACAACATTTTAAGTACAACACACACAGGCATGCATTAGAATGGCAGAAATTGCTCACAAAATATTTGAACTTAATTCCGTGTTTCCTATGTATTCTATTCATGATAACCATCATTATGAGAACATGGGTGGTAGGCTTCTTCTGTAAAGAGCCAGATAATAAATATTTTAGGACTTGTGGGCCACATATGGTCTCTCTCACATATCCTTATTTTTTTCACAACAACTATTTAGAAATGTAATTTTTTTTAAATATCTAACTCTCAGTCTGAAAACAGGCTGAAGACTAAATGTGGCCTGAGGGCTATGGCTTGTTGACCCCCATACACTAGCCTCCTAACCACTGAACTATCCTTTCTAGAGTGAAATGACTTTGTAGCTCTGTTAAATACCTTATTTTCCATTTCTTAAATTTCCTTTATTGGAATCATTTTTAAATGCAATCTAGATTCACCTGGATAGGCAAGCCAAACAAAACTTGTCTGAACAGCAAGAATGTGCCAATTTGCAATGACCCTAATCTGCTGACTCTCTTGGATGACCAGGGACGATTTCCACTTGCCTTCTTGCTGTCTTACTCTCAGCCCATGCGGCCCCATTGCTGTGGCAGGGCTCACAGAATTCATGCACAGGTCTCTCATCCACATGTTACCTCCCACTGCAGCCCTTCTCACCTGTAATATTGTTTTTTGGAATTTCTTCCCAATCAAAATTCCTAATCTTAACTAGGGCTAATGGCTTAGGGTTCCCCTTACCTAAAGCTCTCCTTTGTTTTCTGATTTGTAATGGGCGATGGTTGACATGCTAGTGGAAGGGATGGTTAGAAAGGAAGCTGGGAGGTTGGATATCAGATAGGCCTTAAGAGGATTCCTATGTTGTTGGGGGAGGTAACATAACCAGCTTAACAAAAAAATGGTCTCCCTCCTTGTCATTTGTATTCCATGGGATAGCCATATATCATAGTTCTGGTCAATGAGATATAACAACAGAAATTGTTGGGAGATTCTTCTAAAGGTGGTGGCAGATTCAGCTAGCATCCCCGACTTTTCCTTTGCCCTTACTCCTACATGCCTGAAAAGTGGGTATAATAGCTGAAAGTAAAGCTGTCCTCTTGAATCTGACTATGACAAAAAATCCAGGAGAATCACAGAAACTCCTGCCTGGTAACAGCCCCATACTGCATAAATCTGGGGAGTTAAATGAGACAGGGGAAAAGCAAATGTCTTGTTTAAACCACCATGATTTGGATTTTATATTACTATGTGTAATTGGATGCAGGTCTTACCTGATACATTGCCCTTTTCCTAATCATTCCTTTATCATTTCTTTTCAGCAACAAGCATTTATTGTGGCCCTACTATGTACAGGCCACAAAAAAGGAAACATCCTCATCGTTGAGGATTTTGCTACTCTCAGTGAAGGAGCTGATAGATCTCTAGAGTACATTGTTCATTATACACGGTGTCGACCACAATAGCCATTAAGGTCCCACAGTGCCTTTTTCCATCGCTTCTTGATTATTGACAAATTAGGAGGCACTGGGGACCATGCCTGCTCTCTACCTGAGCTGCAAAGAGTGAAGTTAATCATACCCTCCATCAGGTTCCTGACAGAATATTCCCTTCTTTATATCACCAGTCTTCTATTCCATCACCATAAGTATATATATGTGCTTAGTATATGTCTTAAATGTACATGCTATTCTTTTTTGCTTATCAAACATAGCTTATTTCTACCTCTCAATAACAGAATTGTTGAGATTTGTTAAAATAGTTGAATTATTTAATGGGTCTGTTCTCTACTTGCTAAAATTGCTTCTGAACATCTGTCCCTTTCTTTGAAAAGATAAGCCCGATCATGTGCATGACTTCATATTTTCAAATATGAGCTTACCTGTTTTTTGTCAAGTGATAATTTTGAAAGGTCTTCATGACTTCCTAAAATTCCAAGTTTCTTTTCTTCATTTATCTTTTAAAGATAGATAGTAAAATGAGTATAACTGCATAACCAATTTCACTCTTCATTCTGTATTTTAAAAGCCATTTCGTCTAATTCTCCAACAAGTTTTAATGAGAGAAACATATTCTTACGGGGTTCTTCCCTTTGCAAGTGCTTGCTTAGACATTTCCTTTGGACTCTGAATTCCCTCAGGTTGCAGTTCTAACCAGACCTGTAAACCACCCATTTAATTAAGTAAAATAAAGGAAGGGAAATTTTTGCCACTCAATCCACTGAGTTCTGTAAGTTATACTTCTGGAAGAATATCATAGATTGTATTTTTTCCAAAATTCCTACACAAATTAATCATAATCACATTTAAAGAAAGCTTTAAAATTCTCAAAGTACTTTTATATACTTATTTGAGTTGATCTTCAGGATGTAGATATAATTTTTTTCACATATTACAGTTGAGGAAACTAGAACTCAGAGAATGTGCTACTTACTTGAGCACCCTAAATAGTAAATGGGAAACAGTGCAGGAATTACAACATTTTCCTTTTATTTAATGATAGAATCTTATTGCAAGGAAACTTTATAATCATTTGGCCCAATTGCCCACTCAGTGTAAGAAGGAAAAATCTTCAATACATTCCCACTGTCAGCCATCTGGCATTTATTGACTTCTTACAATGGTGGGAGGCTCACTACTTCTAAAGGCAGCCCATTCTTCTGTTGGGCAGATTTTCTTATTAAAAGTTTGCTCTTATATCGAATTAAAATTTAACAATTTGAATTTTTGGCCCATTGCTTTTCTTCCCATTTTTGAAAAACAAGTGTACTTCCTAATTAAAGATGGAAATTACAAAGATATTTTTAGTCACTTTCAATCTTCCTTTTTCAGAAGAAACAGCCAGCTCCTTCAGTCCTCCCTCATATGACACTTTATCCATATGTGTTCCATTCTGGTCCTCCTCCTCTGGATACACCTGGTATCTCAGTGCTCCTTCTGAGTACAGAGGTCTAAATGCTCAGCAGAGATCTTTGCATAGCATAAGCCCTCACCTTCCACCTCCAGTGAGACACAAATTCCACATGTTCTCTAAACATATCTGAACATGCTGTGATCGCCCTACTGCCTCATCTAAGCACTAAATCTTTTTATTTTTTTTAAAGATTGCATCACCTTGTGGGATTACTGTTTTCAATCAATGTCCTTAGCTCTTTCTTTCTTGAACTACTTATTGCCAAGCCTGGTCTCCCAAATTCTATGTGAGCAACTGATTTCTGAACTTTTCAATGTAGAAGCTATCTAAGAGTTAATCAAGTTGCCCCGCCCCCCCCCCCTCCCCGAGTCATAACAAGCTGCTGCCGATTTACTGGGCTGTATAAATTGTAGGAAAAGTGAGGGACATGTAGCCATAACAGCAAAAAAGCAGCCCAGAATAGTTCTTCTTTCAGTACCCACTCCAGATAACATATTATTTTAGTTATATTTCATGAATTTTTCTTACATTCTTTTAAGTAGGAAATGTCCAGTGTGCTCATGTTGAACAGACACAAGCCAAAGGACTGTGCTGTGTGAAGTGACTGCATATGGGAATGAATGGATGTGTCATCAGGAACTGCTTCTCTTTAAAGGGATGTGGCATAGTGGTTACAGTAGTCACAAAATTTAAGAATACAATGATAACTTATCAAGCTAAGTTACCTTGTTCATCTCTGCATCTTCCTGGAAACCTTTTTTATGGCCCTGGAACAGCTCAGAAATCCATTTTTTAAGCTTCAGTAAGAGATAAAACAGGGACTTTGGACTCGGCACCAGATTGAAGGGTACAGGAAGTGTTCTGCCCTCCTCAAAGTAGGAAAACCAGAGTTTGGCCCTTGCAAATTTCCACTCCACATCAGCGTCATCCTATACAAATACACATGACAGTTCAGCAAGGAAATGCATAAACAGAATTACTGGGATGCTTTTAACATTGTGTAGCTAGATGGAGGACAATGCCTATAAACACTCTCAGACCCCAGTGATCGTTCCAAGATTTTTTCAAAATGTTAACATTCTATTCACATATTCTTTCTTAAATTTGTCTAAAATTTTGACAGTCTTGCAAGACTATTAATCTCCAAGTTCCCATGTGTTTATAAATACCTGATAGATATAAATGTATTTTCCTACTTTCTGAAAAATGCTATGAAAAATTATTCTCTCTTTTATTCTGAAATATACCACTCATTTATTTGGGACACAGATCAAGATTTCTGGAATAAAAATTTACACTATTAATCTCAACTTGAGAAAAGGTCAATTTTGAATATCACTCAAAAAAGACTTGGAGAATGATGGTATTCATAAGCAATAATTTTTTGAATAAAATATAAATTCATGCTGATATAGTATTTCTAAAGTTTTTTATTAAATTAGTATCAAATCAGCATTTCTGCTTCTTATGCCTTACGTCTCTGCCCCATGACACCTTACTGATGTTGCATTTGGAAGCAAAGAGTTAAAATTTTCCAGATTACTGGTCAAACGAGTGTATAAAACAGGGAATGAACAAAGGGCGAAGAGCAGTCCATGCTTTCATCCCCATTGCTGAGTTAGCCCTTGGAATAGTTAAAACATGAAGGCACAAATTATAAAAATGTATTGAGATTATACCTCAATTTCCTGGAATGAACTGTTGATCATGGCAATTAACATATTTAGCAAAACAATGACCATCGTAACATTATAGACTCCATAAAGAACGTAACCAATGTTTTCAATGAATTTGTGGTTATAGTTGATGACCACTGATTTCACTTCAGAAAGTCCAAATATAGCCCAGAACAGTGTCTTAAAACTCTCTTCAACTCTGGGGAAAAAATAACAGAAGAAAAGAAATAAGAAAGTGTATAAATAAATAACAATATTACCATAATAAAAGTGAGTTTGTTTAGTGTCTGCAAATTAGTGAGTATAAAAAAAATTCTTCACTTCTCTGAAGCTCACTTTTCTTTTCTGTAAAATGGTTACAATAGGATTGCTGCAAGGATGGGGTAATATTGTGCATATGAAGTACATAATCATAGCTCAATATCTAAATACATAAGCACTCAATAAATGCTATTAACATAATTTCATAACCACAGATATGAACACTTAATCCATAGCGTTGGCAATGGAATTGTTAGAATCCTTTTAGGTTTCCTCCTGATCTATACTTCTACTCATATCCAATAGATAATAATCATATACATCTTAATGGAAAATACAATATAAACAGACAATGTTACCAAAATCACTGACATGTCTTAGGTAGGAATTTCAATGCTTTAGGCCTAATTATTGACCAAAGCTAAGCCAGTTTGCTTAACTCAGGTGGTTTCACTTCCCTGGCAAACTGTATTTTAGAGAAATATGGAAAACAGTAGGCTTACATTTCAGTTGTTGCTTCTTATTATAACACTGAAGACCTAATATTTAAATAATCTATTCCAAACACACTTTATGAAAAAAAAAACACGTGTCCATGGTGAACATAAGTCAAAACTCTTGCCACTATTGATAAGTCATATCTACTCAGTGATAAGATCTGAGAAATTCAATTAGGAAAGTAGCTGTTTTCATAGTTAGCATCCCCAGGAGTGAGTCCCCTGTAAGCAGGAGGGTAAGGGAGTTTAGAGCAACAGACCCTAGAGTCAGCAAGCAAGGGTTACAGCCTGGCTTGTTCCACACACAGCTATGGAATATTCAGCAAATTACTTAATTTTTGTGAATTTCAGTTGCCTCTTGGTGAAATAGAGATAATAAAGGGAGGCATGCAAGGTATTTACCTGGCTCTAAAAATGTAAGTTATTATTTAATATTAGAAAGCTTCCTATATTTTAGAGTCCCTCCAACTCATTTGTAAAATCCCCTCATTTTGCAAAACAGGAACTAGAGATGAAGTCTTTACCAAAACATTATCCCATGGACTTACATAAACGCTGTTAAACTAATATTTATTTAATTTGCAATAACTATCATCAAAATATCTGAGATCACATACGTTGTGAAGGCTTCATTTTGTTTTGCACCAATGTAGTAGGAGTAGAGATTGAACATTCCAATCATAAAGGCCACAAACACCATAATGAATATGACCATGAACTTGAAGATGTCTTTGACTGTTCTTCCAAGTGATATCTGCAGAGGTCCAAAGCTTTCATTTGCTGGTAAAATATAAGCTATCCTAGAGAAACTTAAAACTACAGCAATTGCATAAAGACCTTCAGATATTATTTGAGGATCAGAGGGGTCCCACTTTATCCTGGCTAGGAAAAAGCAAAGACAAAGAGTTGTGTGAGTTTCTTCAAGTTTTTTATTTAGGTAACTTCTTTTTCTGCGAAAGAAATATAGTTATGTTAGAATCCGGTTTTCGAATGGAAGTCTCCTATCTTAAAGGGCTTCTTAAGTGTCTGCTAGAGTTGAGCTTCTTAGTTTATTGAGAACATGACTCTCCTGGTTTACTAGCAATTTCCCATAAGGGGATAGCATAATAGTTAAGAGTTCAGACTATAGACTCAGTATCTGTAAAAATTCATGTATGTATGTACGCACACACACGTATAACAAAGAACTTATGCAAACTACTTCTCTAGTTTTGTTTCCCCATTTTTGAAAATGAGATAATATCCCTTCTAACTCTCTTGTCTTCGTGAGAATTCAGTAAGTCAGCATATGTTCAGCGTTTAGCAAGTGCCTGGCACTTAATAAATGGTAGCGTTTATTATTCAGTCTTAAACTATAATTACACTATAATATAATTTTAGGCTTGTAGCATATTTGTAGTCATTTAAATGTATTAGAAGTAACTTTTATTGGTCACTCAAACAAGTCTATTTTTACCATAAAATGAAGCAATTATTCACTTATGGATTTTTTTGGCATTATTACATCAGGTCATCAAAAATGCAACTAAGAAACCATTATGAAGAAAAACACAAAACAGTGTGTAAGAAAGGGGAAAAACATAATTACAAATTTGTATTTGCTTATTTGCTGAGAAGTGGAATTAGGAGAGGATAACAAGAAACTAATAAAAGCAGTTTCCTTTTTTATAGTGCTTTGAATATAAGTATTATCTACAAATAGCTTTGAATTTTTTTAATTAAGTGCATTTTAAAAAATCTTAAAATTAAACATTAAAATAAACATTAATAATAATAATGGAGGCCTTATGTGATATTGCCAATAAACTCACAAGTGAATGTTAACTAATTTCTTATCAGAGGGTTTGAAATGAGTATTCAAAGGGAATATATTTTCCCCATCCAGGTTTCTACGAGGTGGTAGTCTCCTTAAGTACATAACTGGACCAATTTCCATCCCTTAGTCACTTTCTTCCTGGAAAGCTGGAATGACTTATCTGATTGCTAAATTGGGATGAATAACTGGACATAGTTAGCTCGGCATTACCTTCTCTCTCTTGGGAATTCTCCTCTGGTCCTCCATGGAAGATCTCACTTGATCGGGCACTTGCTGCCATCCTCTTTTTGTGAGGAGGACTGCCCTGGCCCATTGCTATCTAGAAACTGGAGGATATGTCTGCCTAATTCTGGGGTTCAGTATTACTGAATCCATTAGCTAATAGAACTATGTCATCCACCCTGGATTTTATCAGTGTTAGAGGTGATGATCTGGCCTCCATATTAATTTCTTGTTTTATTTCTCAACTAATTCTAAGCCTGGTTGGGAAACAGTGGTGTTATTGATTGGGGAACCTCTCAGAGATCCCAACAATTCCTTCGTTTTCAAATACTTTTTATATATCTTAAATGAAAATGGCACTCAAATGTGAACTTTATTATATATATCTATGGGGCACAACTTGATGTTTTCATATATGTCTGTCTACACTGTGCAAAGATTAAATTAAGCTAATTAACATATTCATCACCTCGAATATTTACATTTTTGTGGTAAGAACATTTAAAATTTACTCTCAGCAATTTTCAAGTATACAGTACAGTACATGATTATTAACTCTAGCCACTATACTGTATATCTCCCTTATTATAAGCTTATTACAAGCTCCCTTATTATAAGCTCTAACTAATAAGTTAGAACTTACTCATCCTATCCGTGTACCCTTTGTAAACTTTGTACCTTTGGCCAACATCTCCCCATTTTGTGCCTTTTACCCCAGCCCCTGACAACCACCATTACCTTCTACTTCTTTGAGTTTGACTTTTTTTAGATTCCACAAATAAGTAAGATCATATACCATTTGTCTTTCTGTGCCTGCCTTATTTCACTCAGCATGATGTCTTCCGAGTTCATTCATGTTGTTACAAATGACAGGATTTTCTTCTTTTAAAAGGTGGAATACTATTCCATTGCACATATATATACACACACACACATGTGTGTACATATACATATATACACGTGTGTGCATATATACACACACGTGTATATATACATATACATATATATGTATACAGAGAGAGAGATACAGAGAGATAGATCAAACGTGAACTATTTTTAATTAAAAAAGAGGGAAAAATAAATCCAGGACATAAGACATGTATTCTCCATGAAGTTTGATAAGTAGCCAATTGATCCAAGAGATAAAGGGAGATGAGTCTTGTGATTAAGAGAGTTTTCCAGGGAGTAGAAAAATCAAATGAAGCAGCAGAAAGCATGCTTCCTCACATATAGATGCTCATTCTTCAGATACAGATGTTGGAAACTCACAAACAATTTTATGAGAATTGTGCAGTAACCGAACTACTACTGACATCTGTTTTACAAGAAAATTCTGCATTTTTATTTATATTGACTGTACTGTAAACTCACCCAAATTGTAGTATTTCACATTGTCTCCCAATGTTACTTTCGTCAAGTCCTTCAAAGTATCATTTGCGTCAATGATGCTCTGGGCTTTGGAAGCATGCCAAAATGCCATGAATCTCGCAATGAATGATGCTGCGAAAATTGCTAACATACCAAAATCAAGCATGTTCCACAACTCAAACAAATATTCCTTGGGGCCCTGAGTCCAGATTTCTTTACATTCAGCCCATATCATGCCTGCATCAGAAAGGGGTTAAAATATCAATTCAATCGCATTCAGCCTTAGCTGTTCTATAAAACAAAATATGTTTGAAAGGTCTCAGCCTGACATTACAAAACCCTTCAAAATTTGGTCCCAACCTGCCGTCCCACCATAATTCCCATATCCTCACAAATATCCTAGTCCAGAAATATCAGTGCATACCTGAAAGCAATTTGACAAAGTTCATTGAACACCTTAAAATAACAAATGTCCTGCTGATCAATTAATTCCACACATAAAAATATATTTAACAGATGTTTATTGTAGGATACTTTATAATAACCCAAACACACCCACACACTCAAAATAGAAGTAAAATGGAAGTGGGACTTCCGCAGATGGAGTATTATCAAGCCATTTAATATTTTATTAATTACCATGGGACAGTGACCATGAGAATGTGTCTCAGTGACATCCAACTACAGGAATTTGATTGATCACAGGCCTCACCTACTGCCTTCTGAAAACCACTGCCACTTTTGTCCAAGGCCGTGTCTCCCCCCGGCTGCTCTCAGCCAATTACTGAGGGTGCCCCTTCTTGGGAGACATGGGACTCTTCTGATGGCTGACTTTGGCTCAAGGATTTCATGACAGCCTTGCCAACCTTTCCTTAGACTGTGTAAAGATCTAGGATGCTTCTACCCAACCTTCCTGCCTGCTCTCTGTCCCTTGGGGTTTGACTTGTATCCCTGCCTGAGAGCCCTTGAGACCCTTCTCAGCTCTCTTGCCATTTCCTCTCACAAGAAATGTTCCTTAATAAAATTCCCATTTCCCTTAATAAACCTGTTGAACATTTAATCTTTGTGCCTGCTTCTTGGAGGACCCGGACTAACATACACTGGAAAAATCTTTATATTGTAATGCTAAGTAAAAATGTTTAAAATGTTATGATGTGTGGTTTATGTTTAAAACCAGCACAGTGACAGCCTAGATGGGATGACAGGAACTTATTAATAGTAGTTGTCTTTTTCTGGTAGAATTATTAATAGTACTGCATATTTCTTCAAAATTTTAACGTAGTATTTAGGAACACTGGATTTGAGATCAGGCTACCATGGATTCGAGAATTTCTTCTTCCATTTGTCAGCTATGAAGTCTTTGATAAGGTATTTAAACTATCTAAAACTCAGTTTGTAAAATGGGAATGATATTGGTTCATTCCTACTTCATTGGATTGTTATGAGGCTTAAATAAAATAGTTCATGTGAAATACACAGCTCAGTGTCTGGCACTTGGAAAAAAGTATGACTAACATTTATTGAGTGCTTACTATTTAAAATTTTCCATGATTGGCACATGTATTTTTTTCTTAATTTGAAGAATCCCACTTTTTTAATTAAAAAGAAGTTGCTTTATCCCTATTAAGATACTCTACTCTGACATCCTGCCTCCTGCTGGAGCCATCTGGAGAAATACAACCCAAACCAACAACTGATCAAAACTTGCCTCCATCAAGAAGTCCTTCACAGCCTCGAGTTGAAAATAATCTTCTCCTCTTACCCTCAGCAACCACCTGCCTCAAATTCTCACATTTGTCCTAAATGTCAGTCACAAAACCTGCTATGTGAATAGCTGCAGAGCCCTGTGGGGATTAAGGAAATGCCCCGTCTCTAATTTCCAAGAGCACGTCATGTGCCTTTTCTTAAAGCCAGCATTAAGTGCAGCATAGAGGACATGGATTTAAGAGAAGACTTCATTACTTATTTTGAGTTGTTTCAAGTTAAGAGGGGACTAGGATTGAATTCATATATAATCTGGGGGATCAAATTTGTAACAGGAAATACGGCAGTTTTTTTCCCCCTACTGTGGTCCCCGGGCTCCTGTCAGCCTCACGAGGAGATGCGGATGGTTCAGAGTAACAAGCATGGGGACTAAAGGGACATTTGAACTCATGCAGTCTAGTTGTTTTCAAAGCTTCCTCCCACTTTTCCATTTTCTTTTCTCTTTCTCTCTTTAAGAAATAAATAGAATTCTTGGCACAAATGATGTCTTCCTGAAGCTTAAAAACTAAAACAAGTGAGCTATTCTGCTTGAAGGAAAAGTTCGTGTCTCATTTGTCCTGAGGACCCCTGAGAGCTGCCAAGGAGAGTTTGAAATCCCGCATCAAGTCCAAGCTTGCCCCAGGCAGGAGACTTCACAGGGATCAAGCCTCTGCTCGTATAGATCTTGCGATAAGGTGCTTAACTAATTCTGAAGGCTGCTCATTCCACTGTTGAATTTTCAGAATATTCCTTCAACGTGGATGCAGTGGTTCTATTTTTGCCCTCTAGACAGGTAGCAAATGAGTCAGCTCCCTCTGCCTTCAAATTTCTTTTTACAAAAAACAACCAAAAAACCCACCTGCGTGCTCATTAAATCTGTTTTTCTCTAGCAGAGGCAGGTTAACCATGAAACTGAAGCTTCAAGATGCCTTTACTTGCCCAGGCTCCTGCTAAGTCGTCACTTTGTCTTCTTTTTCACTAAATGGGGCCCTCTGAATAAACAAGCCTCAGATTCCACTGGGTCTTACACCATGCCTCACCCTCCAGGGTAAGCTTCCCCAGCCCCCTCAAGTGCTGTTCTGAGAACCACTCACTCTCCTAACTAACTGCTGTGCTTGAAACGCTCCTTAGTTTGCCAATTGGCTGCACGTGGCACCCAGGGCCTGCAGATGTGGTCTCGCCATTGGGTAATTACTGCCTGGACTGCCGTCCTCTCCTTCTGTTGAAGAGTCAGCCCAGGACTGCATCTGCTTTCTCAGCAGCTCAGACTGGCCGTTAAGTGACAAGTGCTCCTAAGGCCCTTTTCACTAGTGTCTTCAAGCACGTCCTCCTCCCTGTGTTCCTGCTACATGTCCTACATGTCCTCTCATTGATTTGAGCTCACTGTTCTGCCTTGTCAACATCTCCTAACACATCAGTTTTGTCATTTAACCTTTCAACTTTTTGTCAACTAAAAATGAGATAAATTTGTTTTGTGACTAATAGTGTCATCCTCTCCCTCAAGCCCAGATAACACACCCAACATCTCATCTAAGTAGGCCACTTCTTATTAACATTTCCAGAAAGTACAACTTTCTTTCAAGAATAACTTCAAAGAAGAAAATAAATACCAATGTCAGAAACTGAACCAGGAATCTAACATAGGCTACAAAAGCATCAGCTATCCTGAGTTGTTCATTATTTTCCCTTTAAATAAACAGTGTTAGCTAGTCTCTGAAGTCAAATACAAAGGCTGGTGGGACAAAAGTTACAAGGAAAATGCTTTTGATTAGAGCCTCATTTAATATTCCTGTGTTTGTTAGGTTGCTAAGTGAAAAAGGAAAAAATATATATAAAGTTTAAAATAAAACTGAGACGGCTGGGCACGGTGGCTCACGCCTGTAATCCCAGCACTTTGGGAGGCCGAGGTGGGCAGATCACCTGAGGTTGGAAGTTTGAGACCAGCTGGACCAACATGGAGAAACCCCATCTCTATTAAAAGTACAAAATTAGCCAGGCGTGATAGCTCATGCCTGTAATCCCAGCTACTCGGGAGGCTGAGGCAGGAAAATTGCTTGAACCCGGGAGGTGGAGGTTGCGGTGAGCTGAGATCGCGCCATTGCACTCCAGCCTGGGCAGCAAGTGTGAAACTCCGTCTCAAAATAAATAAAATAAAAAATCAATGAAACTAAGACTAGTATGAGGAGAATAATTTATGGTCAAGAATAAAATGAACATGTTATATAAAATATAACTCACTGAACTCATGCAGTCTAGTTGTTTTCAAAGCTTTTCATTCCTCCAGTTCCAGGCGTGATATTCCTTCTATATTCTCCCTCTTAGAGACTGCAGTCACTACCTACCGGTCCAAGGCAGAACCCACAGCTCCTCCCTTCTGATGTGCAGTAATCACCAAGTGGGTTGGGGTTTACCTGTTAGGGTGCTCTCAAGTTTATACATATTTTATATATAAAATATAATATGTTCATTTTATTCTTTACCATAAATCATTCTCTTCATGCCCCTTTATATAAAATTTAATTTTTAAAATTCTTTACCCCTTATAGAAAATTTAATTTTTCAAAGTTTCATCTTGTCCTAAAACAGTCATGTTTTGCCTAATAGGAAAATAGCACTTCTTGTAAAAGTGACATATAAATGCTCAGTGAAAAGTTGAATAATAATTGTAATTATCTGAAATTTCTTGAACATGTCCGTTGTGCCAAGTACTGTATTATTTACCTTACATATACTAAGACATAAAAAATAAACTATGAGACATGGGCTTTTAGTTTAACAAGATAAAGGCCATGCACAAGTGATTGTTTATTCTTATTTTAAATCAGATATTGGAAGTGAAATATAATTTCTTTTTCTAGTCTCATCAATTAAATTAGAAAAGAAATAGAATAAAATCAAAGCCATCTTCTGTATCCAAGATTTATCATTACTTTGGTGATACAATTCACATTTTATGCCACTATCCATATTTTTCCCTAAAACATATTCAGGAAATGAAGTGATTTGAAAGTTTTGAATAACTCAAATGCTACTGAATTAAATTTAAAATATTCCTATGGTAATTTGAAAAATGCGTCTTAATATTTTGACTGATCATCTCATCAAGCTCCAGCATGAAGCCAAGAAGACATGTCCTGCCTTAGAAGTGATACAAAACTGACTGTCAGTGCTTCTCCAGGTCCCTAGAGAGGGAGGTGGGATGTTGGGGGGAGGGAATGGAGAAGCCTGTGGATTATTAAAGGATTTATATGAAAATCCCTGAGCCTAATTTTCTTTACATCTTGCATATGTTAACCCTACATAATTTTATGCATAGTCAGGGCCTTAAGTACCATCTGGAATTGAGGATGGCTGGAACTTTATTCAAAACCCAAATACTCCCAGGGATCATACTTTCTATTACCGAATGGACATTTCCACCTTGAAATTCCATGGGCACTTCAAAGTCAGTCATAACCTAAACTTTAATCAGCTTTTCATTCCTCCAGTCCCAGGCATGATCTCCCTTCTGTATTCTCCCTCTTAGAGACTGTAGTCACTACCTGCTGATCCAAGGCAGAATCCACAGCTCTCCCTTCTGATGTGCAATAATCACCAAGTTGTTTGGGGTTTACCTATTAGGGTGCTCTCGAGTCCTTTCCCCTATCTCCTGAGTGCCAGGCCTCATCCTCCTCGCAGGGAGCACTTCCATTGAGTCTCAGCCTCTGGACTCTTTAAAGCCACCGTCTATCTCACAACCACTGTGACCTTTCTAAAACATGATCAGATCAAATCACCAATTGCTGAAAAGCATCTTCTAGCCATTTCTCCACCCTTATCTCCCATCACTCGCATCCATAAATGCACCTTGGCTCCTTCTCTGCCTAACTCATCATATTTCGAGTGTGCGAGGTATTGCCATAGTTCCACATCTCTAATGTTCCCATGCCATCCTTGTCTCCCAAACAGGTCTGTTTAACATTCTTTTATCCTCAAAGTACCACATTGAAGATACTGCCCAGGAAGGGCTTCTTGCCCCTTCCATTTCACATCCCACCTCAGATTTAGATGCCCAATCTGTGTATGTTCATAATATCCCAATAACTCAATTATAGCATTTGTCACATTGAATTTTAATTATTGATTTACTTACTGACCTGCCTCCCAGACTTAACTTCCTTGAACACAGGGACTGTCTCATTCACTTTAGTATCCTCGTTACTTAACAAAGGCACTTAACAGCCACTGGATTTATTTATTCATAAATATCTAATTGAAGTATCTTTATTGTTTGCATTATATTTAATGGCAAGCTACATGTATGATTGATTCTAAAGACAAATAGTATAGCAACTAAGATCATATTCCTTCTCTTCCACTTACCACCCAAGAGGCCTAAAGAAAGTTACTTGATCCTTAGATAAATCCTATAAAATAGATGTGATTATACATTATAGACTAGAAAACTGAGGTGCAAAGAAATGATGTGATTTGATGTATATAAAGTGCTTGGAATAATTCTTGGCACAAAATAAATGCTCAATAAATGCAAGTGGCTGTTAGCTTCAATTCCTATCAAATCTCAATGTAAAATTGTGGTTGTGTTTAAGCTTGAAATCATAGCTCGCTCTCAAAATATGAATAGTATAATAGCTTTTTGTCACTGGTGGGATGTGATTGATACTACCCTGTTGGTTTTCTTCCTGGGTTTTCCTTGGAAATGCAAAAGGCGCACAGCATGCGAGAAGACTATGGCACTGATAATGAACCCAAGGCAACTGTACTTTAGGAACACAAAGAAAATTATGATGTGTGGTGCACTGTATCATGCTGCATACATTTGTATAACTGATGTGTGAAAGAATCAGTGTCATTCAGTCCAACTGCTAAGACTGCAAACAGAAAACATGACAGAAAATCAGTCTTTACCTATTACCCAGGATATAATGAGCATCTCCATCCATGAGAAGCAGGATGTTTTCATCCTGAACAGCTGTTTTGCATTATCTGTGCTGGTTTCATTAGGAAGGAGTTTTGTGCCTTCAAATCTGTCAGCTGCATTCATGACTAGCAGTCCCAGAAAAATGGTGAAGGAGGCTGCGTGTGCTACAAACTTCATGAATGGTCCACGCATTATCTTCCCCATCTGCCACAACACACACCAAAATAAAATCTTAACTTTGTTTTGTACACTTTGCAAAACACACATACATACATGCAAGAATAAACATCTGCACATTCCAATGATCTCCTGAGATAATTGTTTATATTTATGTAATTCGTGATAGAGTAATATCTTTATGCTGTTACAAAATTTTGTTCACGTTCCTCACCTACATGTGCTGATGTTCTTGATTAATAACTAAATACATGTATTTTTCTAATAAAGGATATTTAAATTCTTAAAATATATAATATCGTTGACAAAATATAGAGCATAATAATATCAGCATTATTCATATAAAGAAAACTAATTTAGTGGGTCTGAGGTATTGAGGAAGTGGCAATGAAAATATGAAACTGAGTCTACTTTGCCAGGTATAGAACCTTGGTGGGTGTCCTCACATATACTTCATTGACAGGCATGCAATTCAGGCCTGAGTGGATGTTGTTATTTTGGTGATCTTGTAAATGCAGTAAAAGTCATGAGTACCAAGAAGAGAACTCCCAGCTGAGGACAGGGCAGCAGGACAGTTCCTACAGTGTATTGAAACAATCTCCTGGAAGGACACTGGATTTAAAGTCCAACATTTTAGGTTCAGGTTCCAGTTTCATTCCCTCATTAGCTGAGTGACAATGAGCACATTTCCTAAATTATGTGAAAACCAGATTCTTTATATGAAATACGGGGGACAAAAAAAGCTAGTGTGCCTTTTATAGTACACGATTCATCTCTGTCTAAGAGGTACAGATCTTCACCTAGGCAGAGTGAGGATCTAGGATATGACTAAGGGGTCTGGACATCCTCTGAAATGAACAAAACTTAAGCTGTGTGTGCAGTTTCCCCCACCCTTTAGGAGATGGTCCATAGCTTTCAACTGCTTTTCAAGTGAGTTTATTATTACAGAAAACTTTGAAAACTAATAAAATACAACCAACACTTAGTTGGCACTGTTTTAAGTGCTTTACACTGTTAACTTGTAATCATTACAACAATTCAAAAGGGCAGGTGCACTCAAATGCCCACTTTCGATGAAGAAACTGAGGAAGTGAAGTCCAGAAACTTGTTCAAGGTCACATATCTCATAAGTGGTAGAGCTGGAACTTGAACCCAGGCATTCTTGTTCCTAAGTTAATACTTCTATTTGGTTTACAGAATAATTTCATACTTTCTCATCAATGGGCCTACATATGTAAATTATTAGGAATTATCTTTTAAGACTCGGAAAAGATAAATGCTATCATGGAAGGAACACAATCGGTGTTCTCTATTTCCCTACCTTTATTTGTCTATATGGTTTTCAAAATAATAAAACTTAGAGCTGGAACCAATTAACTTATCTTGACATTCTGAATGTTAGGCCAGACACAGAATATCAGGAGATATTGTATTGTATCTCTCTCTCTCTCATGCTATGTGTGTGTGTGTGTGTGTGTGTGTGTGTGTGTGTGTGTGTATGAGTGCAGTTGTCCCTAGGTATCCATGAGGGATTGGTTCCAGGTCCTTCCGTGGATACTAAAATCTAAGGCTACTCACGTTCCTGATATAAAATCATAATATTTACATATAACCTAGGCACATCTTCCCATATACTTTAAATCATGCCGAGATTACTTATAATACGTAATATCATGTAAATGCTATGTAAATTTTTGTTATAAGATACACTTTTAAATTGACATATATTTGTACATATTTATGGGCGGTATATAGTGATGTGTCAATACGTATAACATATAGTGATTAGATTAGGGTAATTAGCATAGCCATCATCTCAAACATCTATCATTTCTTTGTGTTGAGAATATTCAATATCCTGTTTATAGAATAATGCCAAAAGAAGTCTGTACCTGTTCAACACAGACACAATTTTTTTCAAATGTTTTCAATCTGCGGTTTGTTAAATCCGGGGATGCAGAACCCACATATACAGAGGGCCAAAGAATACACACACACACACACACACACACACACACAGAGTTTTAAAGCCAATAGATTCTAGAATTGCAGAGCCAATCCAAAGTTAGTTTGTAAAAGTTTGCTGTAAAAATATGCTTAGATAAGATCACCTACTGAATTGATTCAAGGAGTATTTTTGTTTTTTTTTTTAGATCCTTTTAAAATCAAACTCTCAATCAAACGATGGCAAAATTAAAACAAATGGTATAAAAAGTAAGTTTGATTTTCTTCTGCCTATTGTCCTTTGCTATTTTTCTTTTTAAATATAAATAGTTAAAAATAAACATCAATGTTATATTTCCATGATATGTTTCACATAAAATTTTAATTCTATAATGTTTTATGTATGATTTATTTTAACCGTGTATTAGAGCAAGTGAAAATGTATTGCAAGAATCCATATCTTTCTCATGGGAAAATCCATTATAAATCCTAAACTTTTTTTTTTTTAATTCTCAATTTATTTGACTGTTTGAGGAAACCTGGGATTAGAGGCAATGACTGTTAGTGAAATTCATGAAAAAGTTATTTATCACCTGCCTGGTTCCAGGAAGAATAAGAAGCAGCTTTCAAGGACATCATACAGTAGAGCGTAAATTAAAGTAGAACCAAATAAATAACATAAATAGAAAACACGAGGTTGGGGACATAAAATGGAGTTGAAATAAAGCTATCTACCTTAGAATGAGCCACAAATCTGAAAACTCTGGAACCTTAGTTTCACTGTCCTGAACAACTCTAAAGTCAATCTTCAATTTTCGGGGCAAGGTGTCTGATCTGTGTGCCTGGCCCCTACCTGGCTTCCCTTCTTTCTCCACTGGCCTACTGACCTTTATGTAACACTACTCTTCCTTTATTTTATTCTAAAGGGAGTATCAATCCAGGCATCTTCTTCTGCTTATTAAAAGTCTTAGGGTATTTCTTGGTTTGTTTGTTGGTGTTTTCTTGTTTTGTTTTGTTTTGTTTTGTTTTAGCAATCAAACAAAAAGCTGGTTGCCTAGAAACTAAAATGGGCATGTTTGAAACCTCGTAGCCTTTATTTTTCTTACAAAAGTTGAGAATTGTATTTCTCTTCAAACTGAGGGAGATTTTGGCATCTCTCACTAGACTTTAGGAATTGAAGGGAGTTATCCTTTTTGGTAAAATTTGCCATCTATATACTCTGGGATATAGACAAATTTCCAAAAAATAACTATAAAGGAGGAGAGCTAGATGAAGAAATTGAACAACTTATGTACCTGGAAAATTACTGAGGGTAAGCATTGAAATAAATACTTGTCTTTAAATATGATATGTGATACTCTTTTTAGGTATTTATTGATGACTAAATACCTAGCTACTCAACACCACTTAGAAATGAAAAAGGTTGAGACTAGCTTAAACTAAAATGATTTGTAATTGCAGTATGACTATTCTTATTGTAATGAACAAAAACAATTGATATTTGGATTACAGTAGAAGAAAGAGAGCAAGTAAAAACAAAAGGGATTTCGGAATGGGGAAAGAAGAAACCCAACTTTTGTTTCCTACAGCAAAACCAACTTTAAACAAAAATGGGGACTCAGTCACAGTGCATAGGCCTGCAATTTGATCTTACTGATGTTCATGGATATATTGGAAAATCCAAAATATTTTAAATATATTTGGAATAAAAGCACCAATTTAGCTGAAGCAATCCCCTCCCACAAAAAATCCTGTGGCCTGTAAAGCATATTTATGTTCACTGCAAATGGAAAACTGTAAAATAGATTTTATCATCATGCTTCAAAGATAAAAACAGTAAAATAGGTTTTGGATAGGAGAAAAAAAATACCTTGACAATGTCCTTTTAATTTGATTATTTGCCTCAATGTTCATAAACAAGGATGGAAAACAGATGCCAGAAAGACATATGGCCAGGGAAGAAGAAATAGTAAAGGAAATCAGTTTAATTAGAATTCAATCAAAATTTAAGAAATGTGTAACTCTAAGGATTGCCAAAAATAGTCTGTGTCAAAGCACCAGACACTCTGGAATACATTATGCTTTCGAACACACTGGTTATGGAAAAGGAAAATTATTCAGTTTAGGAAAGAGATTATAATTTAACTGGTCACAGAATGAGAATAGGGAGAATTCAAAAACTCCCCCCATTTTAATTCAGTTAAAATCTCAGATGACTCAGGAAATATAAGGAGAAGAAGAACAAAGAGACTACCTACATAGATATAACCCATGTTCTAGGGAGGACAATTTAGAAATGTATTTGTCTAAATTTAAGGGATACCAGTGCAATTTTGTTACACCAGTATACTGCATAGTGGTGAAGTCTTGCCTTTTAGTACACCAGTCACTCAAATAATATGCACTGTACCCATTAAATAATTTGTCACCACCTGTCCCTCCCCTCTTCTGAGCCCCCACTTTTCTAAGTCTCCAATGTCTATCATTCCACACTCCATGTCCATGTACACACATTATTTTTCCAGGCAAAATCTGTCATTTTTAGTAAAAAGGGAAAAAAAGTCAATTTTCTAGATGAAAATCTGTACTACAGATGTCATTTCTAGTAAATTGCACTATTTTCATTTTATGTTCCTCATTTATATTATGAATCTGAGATACCAAATTTTGGCCTTATATATTTTAAGGGGAAAATATCTATGATGATGGATTTTACTCTCATAAGAAAATGTCCAGTTTCCTGTAATTCCTATCATCACTAGAAATAATTAGGATGTTTCCACTGTCTAAAAGGCTTTGCACAAGCTTTCTAGCATGAGTCATTTTGAACAGCCCTAATATGGCTAAAACACCAAAAATATGACAAAATAATTAGAAAACAATATGTTAGTAATGGTGATGTTTGTGTTTGCGCCCACATATTACGAATGTTTGAAAATGAATCATGCCCATGTTTAAGCACTGGAAGTAACCCAACTGATAGTTCTTTCTACATAGCACATTAATAGATGGTCCAAAAGACATTTAGGCACTAAGCTTCAGAATTATTTCAATCTGCCTCTCAGAGTTAAACAGATCCAGAAATGTGGCTTCAAAAACGTGAAGAATAGGCTTGTTAGCAATGCAAGACACAAATTTCTCTACTTGTTAACAGAATGATAGGTCAATATTTCTCAAACCTATCCTGTCACACTAATGAAAGGCTAGATCCATCTGAACATAGCATTTTTACCAAAGCATGGGTAGATAGCTTTTGCTAAGAAAATAGGCTATTTTTGCTGTCAGGTTCTGGTGTACTTAGTCCCTAAAAAATGTATATTCTTTACTGAAACAAGTATTACATTAGTATTTACATGACTGCCTTTTATTTAAGATTTATCTGGTCATATTAGCTAAAATAAATACAAGACAAAACTTTCATCTCAAATTTTGCCAGAGGAGAAACAGAAAAAGTGTTCATCTTTTAGGATGTCATTTGAAATATATGCTCAATGGTACTATGACCTCATAAAGAAATATAAAAGTATATGCATAGATGTACATAGAGAAAAGAGTAAAAGGAAATTAATATAGTTACTGAGTATCCTTTCACACATTAACAGTGGTGATATTACAGGTGAATTTTATCTTTTCCGTTTTTTTTGTTTCCTATAGCAAACATGTATTACTTTTTGATAATAAAAGCAATACAAATTATTTAAACCCAAACAGGAATTATTTTGTAATGTTAAAAACAATAAAGATTACTGAAACCCAACTGTGATTCCCTGAAATTTTCACTTTGGAGATAAGATTTTTCCCCACTTAAAACATATTTCTAGTAGATAATAGAGGTCCAGGCTTCACATACATACCTTGCTGCATGGAGCAAACCAGTAAATGAGAGCCAGGAAGGGCAGTCCAATGGCAACAGCAAGGACCACAAGGAACTTGACCGCCATTGTCTGCTGTCGTAAACCAGAAAGATTCTCATACCAAATGGAGAGAAGTTGCTGTTGGCAGTTTGGATGAGCTACAAACTAGCAGGGAAGTGACAAAATATTTAAATTTGACTAAAGAAAGGTTCAGCATAAACGATTTTCATGTGTTCTAATAGTTCCATGCTTTCCAATGAAATACATTGTTAGAATTAAAGAACAAACATAAAACATCAAATTAACAGGCAACAAACAAATGGCAAAAAGTTCTAATATGTTTTACATAAATTTGAAGATTTCAATTTATCAAGCTTTTCCTTTATGACAAACAAGCTTTCTTTCAAAGCACAGAAAAAATTTTAATTGAATATTATAAAAAGATTAATCTAAATTTTACATACGGCTTTTATGATTATATAGTTTTTTCATCTAGAAAGAGATCAATATTAACTCAGTTGCCTAAATACTTTTTTAAAAATACCACCTTTCCTGCATTGATCTAAAATGTCACAGAGTTTATACTAAATTCCCGTTTGTATATGGCTCTGTCTCTGGACTGCCTGTTTTATTCTATTGATCTCTCCTTTTATTCTTGTGCCAAAAACTCTTTCACTTAAGAAGACTTTAATTTTCAATATTTTTTTTTTTTGAGGGAATCTTTAAGTTTTCATGTATTTATTTTTACAACTGAACCATACATATGGCAGAGTTAATATACAAAAAGCACTATCCCAAAATAAAAATTGGTAAAGAATATTAAAAAGTTACAATATTTAATATTAATATTAAAATATTACAAAGGACAGGTTATATAGAAGAACTACAAGTGAATCTTAAGGGTGGTTAACCTCAAAGGTAGTTTGAGAGATAGGTAGAAAAGGAGTTGAGTCTAAAACAAGATAGAATGTTTATCTACTCAGAATGGTAAAGTTGGATAAAACCCATTCCACTGTGGGTGGAAGAAATAAGCCCTGTCACACACTGTTGGTGTGTATGGAAACTGGTACACCATTTTTGAAGGGAAACCTAGCAAATGTTTGGAAACCTAAAAATAAAAATTTGACATATTAATTCCACATGTAAGAATTTTTGTTTACGAGTAAAAGTCATGCAAGTAAGCAAGCTATATCAACAAATATGTTTACTGTATAAAAAATAAAAATCTAATAACAAAAATCTGAAAATTATAATAAACATCCCTAAATAGTAAACAGATTATGTGAATATAATGAAGTAACAATGCAACCTTTAAAAAGATAAAGTGGACATTTATTGACTGTTATATAAAGTTGTCCAAGAAAGAAATTTGTGTATAGAAATATAACAATGGTTCATTATTCTCCATTCAGAACTGGAAAAATTGGGAGGAGACATGTTTATACTATTTGAAAACTTACCATAAACATATATTACTTTTATTGGAAAAATCTACCTTTAAAAGCTATCTATCTGTCTATCCATCTATCTATTTATTTTGAGACAGAGTCTCACTCTGTCACCCAGCCTGGAGTGCAGGAAATGATCTTGGCTCACTGCAACCTCTGCCTCCAGAGTTCAGTGATCCTCCCACTGCAGTCTCCCAAATAGCTGAGACTACAGGTGCACGCCACCATACCCAGCTAATTTTTGTAGTTTTAGTAGAGACGGGGTTTCACTATGTTGCCTAGGCTGGTCTCCAACTCCTGACCTCAAGTTATCCACCCATCTCAGCCTCCCAAAGTGCTGGGATTACAGGCATGAGCCATTGTGCCCGGCCAGCTTTTTAAAAGATACCTCACATAATCTAAGAAAGCAGAGAATGGGGCCAGTGCTTGAAGAGAGAGACTAAAAATATTCCACCAATAAAAATGCAGCTGGTGGAAATTCTAATGCGGTAAAGAAGGAATTGAAGGCATTATTGGAAAACAGCAACAAATGGGAAAATGGAGTTGAGTCTCAAATGGTGATGTTCCTGTCTTATAACAAATGTTTTAGAATTTGGATTCATAAAGTCATTGTTATATCATTAGCACAGTAAGAAAATGGCAATCCCTGTAAGATTCTATATAAATACGTCTAGATTTTAAAGACTGGCATTTAGTGTAGGTAGAGTGCCTCACAATTAGTACAGATGCTTATGATTTGTTAGAGAATCTGCCTAGTGCAACTGTTAATTAGAAAATCCTAACCGGGTGCAGTGGCTCACGCCTGCAATCCCAGCACTTTAGGAGGCCGAGGCGGGCGGATCACAAGGTCAGGAGATAGAGACCACGGTGAAACCCCGTCTCTACTAAAAATACAAAAAATTAGCCGGGCGTGGTGGTGGGCGCCTGTAGTCCCAGCTACTTGGGAGGCTGAGGCAGGAGAATGGCCTGAACCCGGGAGGCGGAGCTTGCAGTGAGCCGAGATCGCACCACTGCACTCCAGACTGGGCGACAGAGCGAGACTCCATCTCAAAAAAAAAAAAAGAGAAAAGAAAAGAAAATCCCAGCTTAATCTAACAATATCAACCCTTTATCCTTATTTAGCACCAACAAGAACCAAAATAATGTAAACGGGCTTCACGCCTGACCTT
Source organism: Homo sapiens (assembly GCF_000001405.40). Taxonomy (NCBI): domain Eukaryota; kingdom Metazoa; phylum Chordata; class Mammalia; order Primates; family Hominidae; genus Homo; species Homo sapiens. Next base: position 101,491,554 of record NC_000011.10, read on the forward strand.
ACTTTTTTTACTTCATATTTAATGGCAAGTTTTAAACGGCTGAGATTTGGGCGACCGTGATCACCACTCTGGAGCGTTTCAACATCCCCATTCAGAATGGCCTCGACTTCTTCAGTGTTTCTGCACAGATCAAGGAGTCCAACAACAAAGTCTTTGCACTGCATTGACAGTTTTTTGTAGTCATTCTAGGAAAAACAAAGCAAAACAAAAGCAATAATGGAGAATACCACGTTTTACTATGCTTCAGAGACTTGAAGGATTTTATACTTTAAGAGAAACATTCTTTTTTTTTTTTTTTTTTTTTTGAGACGGAGCCTGGCTGTGTTGCCCAGGCTGGAGTGCAGTGGCACAATCTTGGCTCACTGCAAGATCCGCCTCCTGGGTTCACGCCATTCTCCTGCCTCAGCCTCCCGAGTAGCTGGGACTACAGGCGCCCGCCACCACGCCCGGCTAATTTTTGTATTTTTAGTAGAGACGGGATTTCACCGTGTTAGCCAGGATGGTTTCGATCTCCTGACCTCATGATCCGCCCGCCTCGGCCTCCCAAAGTGCTGGGATTACAGGCGTGAGCCACCATGCCCAGCCGAGAAACATTCTATTTTTAGTTTTACTGTTCATTTATCATATATCAATTGCAGTTTCTGCTGACTGACCTCTAAAATATTTTAGCACATGAAGATTTTCTTCATACCCTCAAAAAGGAAATTTATCTAAAGCATAATCAAAGTTATTTAAAAAAGAGTATGCTGGCCGGGTGTGTTGGCTCCCGCCTGTAATCCCCTCACTTTGGGAGGCTGAAGTTGGCAGATCGCTTGAGCCCAGAAGTTGGAGACCAGCCTGAGCAACATGGCAAAACCTTGTCTCTAAAAAATACAGAAAAAATTAGCCGGGAGTGGGGATGTGTGCCTGTCAAGTCCCAGCTACTCAGGAGGCTGAGATGGGAGGATCACCCGGGCAGGTTGAGGCTGCAGTGATCCGTGATCATGCCACTGTCACTCTAGCCTGGGCAACAAAGCGAGACCCTGTCTAAAAAAAAAAGAGTATGGTGTACCAAACTCACCTGTTGATTCGGAAGAAATATAACCAACTTTTTCCACAGCATGATCATAGGACTTTGCATATATCATCTCCTTCATGGGCACAACTTCATCAGTTAGGCATACAATATACATTTAATAGGTCTTTGGAAGACCTTGTAAACTGTGTTAGTAAACTTGAGGAGCATAGAACATTTGGAAAGTTTCCAGAGAAGAGCAAGTACGTGTCTATTTAACAGATTTTAATTGAAGAACTTTATATGGCAGGCACAGGGTCAAAAGATGAAATCTAGACATAGAGTCTGCAATTTGAGACTCTTCTCTTTAGAGAAAAGAAAGTTTAATGAAACACTGTTGTAGTTTTGTAGTTTGTTGCTGATAATCTAATACTCTATTGGGAAGACTTAAATCATGCAGGTCACATTCAGATTACCGTAAACTCATGTCATGCTTCTATAAGGCATCATTTTATATCTTCATTCATGCTTTTTCTAATATTTCCTCCCTCTATTTTCTTACACTAAGACCACCTATAACCAAATGCTAATCAAGAAAGCCTATTAGCAGGGGTGTTCAATCTTTTGGCTTCCCTGGGCCACATTGGAAGAAGAATTGTCTTGGGCCACACATAAAATACACTAACACTAATGATAGCTGATGAACTTAAAAAATTTTCACAAAGAAATCTCATAATGTTTTTAGAAAATTTACAAATTTGTGTTGAGCTGTGTTCAAAACCATCCTGGGCCTCATGTCCAACCCACATGTCCTTGGGGTGTGGGTTGGACAAGCTTGAGCTAGAGCTTGTTGTATTGCAGGTGGATGGTATTATCTCATTTAATCTTTACAATTGCTCAGGTTGAATTATGTGTCCAAAATCATGCAGCTAGTAAGCACCAAAATCGAGCTTTAAACCTAAATCTGCTTGGCCCCAAGCCTTTTGCCTTTGAGATAATGCCACTTTATCTCTCTTATTTGTAGAGTACTTTTCTACTTTGATTTTTGAAACAACTGAGGGGGCAAGCTGGGCAAATACCGTTCCCATTTTGCACATGAAAAAACTAAGGTTCTCACACAGCTTCAGTGACAGACTTTTCTCTTAAACCCAGAACTGCAGATTTAAAGTTAGTTGTCTTCTCTTCCTGAAACCAGTGTGTTGTAGGATGAAAAGATTTCTTTGGAAAGTTCAAGAGAAATGTATGTGATTCTGGATGTCAGTCAATAAGGCCATATGTGGGGGGTGTCTGTATGGAGAACAGCTTAATACTAGGTATGTGTAAGGTACCTACTTGGGCTCCTTTCTGTAAATTATGCCAAAAGTGAATATCATTGCAGTTTAGTAACTATTAAAGAGGCTACAATTTGCTAAACTGCAGGTCCAAAAAGATTCCAGAAAAGCAAATTAATAAAGCAAATTGTGTCTTACCTGAGAATGGCTAGTTGAGAATGGCTCAAACTACTTATAAACAGACGTCTGGGCAGATAGCATCTAGAGTGTTACAAGGAAACGGCTTTGCCCATTTTATAAAATGGTCTGTTAGGGCCATGCGGACGAACTCTTAGATTTGGAGGTACATATTTGTCCATGTCCACTATACTATAGTATAGTAGTTACGACTTGGTAGTTTAGAGCTGGATATACCTGTAATCAATCCCAACTCTTCTACTTACGAGCCATGTGACCTTTAATATGTTAGAACCAGTCTATGAAGTAGGGGTTCTTATTACTCTCATTTTATAGGTAAGAACACTGAGGCTTAGTGAGATTAAATAAGTATTAAAGAGATTATGCATGCCAAGGACTTAGCAAGGTTGTGAGCATTTAGCAAGCATTCGATAAATTGTAACTACTTTATTTTATATCATCAAAGAGAAGATCTGGAAACAGGCCATCTCTTGACATTAAAAAAATACCATGGAGCTGAGACAAAATTTAACGCACCTGGCTTCTCTTGAATGTAGAGTTCAAGTATAGTGAATTCTTAGTCCTTTTAAAAGCAACAAAGTAATTGTCAAAAGCAGTGCTCTCTAGAATTCTAAGAAAGCTCAGATATATTTAGATATTTGAAAAGAAAGTATGATCTTTCAAATGTAGGTAACACTTTTTTAAAGCAGAACCCACATGGACTGAAAAAGTAAAGTGCAAGAGCTTTGTGGTATTTAATAACCTTAATCTATAAATTTTTGTCCAATTCATCACTAATTCCTAAGACATTTTCTTAAGCAAAAATACCTATTTAAAAAGGAGAGAGAGAAAGAAAGAATAAGACTATGATTTCAGAAATACACACTTTTTCTACTTGGGAAATCATTTACAAATATTTTCATATTTTCAGTTATTGACATTACTATTAACTCATATTTTAAGTAACTGACATGTGAACTCACTCAAATAAAATGTTGGTGGTAGCTCATTAGCCAGAATGCAGCTCTATGATTTTGGTTCCTTGAGAGGAAAAGTGAAGCTGATGGGTTAACTTAATTCTGGGTCATGTCTTTGGATCACACACCTACACTGTACATTCATTCATTAATCAAATATGGGTGCTTGCCTATTAACCTTTGAAAAGTTGAAAAGAGATAACTCACAGTGGGCTAATGAAACACAGTTTAGAAACTATAAAAGATACCCGTTAAAATGATCCTTTCGGAAGTTCCTCTTAGTTGGATTTTAAATAATAGATGTTATGATTTGTGATTTTAATCTCTGGCTCTTCTTTCTATATAAAGAATGAAGTTTACTTCATAGAAATTAACAGTGTAGAGAAAAATGCATGTCTTGATTCTCAGTAATCTACTATGTGGGCTTTGGAGATGGCAGACCTGGGTTTGAAACTTACTAGCTATGTGACTTTAGATAAATGATATAGTATCTTAAAGCTTCTAACCCTAATGTTTAAAAAGGGAATAATATTAGTACCCATGAATTAGTGTTGCTGTGAAGATCATACAAGACAATGAATGCCAAGTTCCTGGCACAGGGTAGTGCAGATCAATGGTAATTATTATTATTATTATTATTATTATTATTATTATTATTATTATCATTGTTTTCATTATTTCACAAACAGTATCTAGCTCTTTGCAGTCCCCATCACAAAGCTATGCTATCATATAGAAAGTCATGTTGGAATTCCTGGATATTATCTGCAGGTGTTGGAAATAAAACAATTATTCATATATTTTCACAACAAATCTTTTACACACAGCACTGAGATAGATACCACTCTCTTATTAAGATGGGAGTTTGTAAAATAAGATTCTACATGTGAGGAGTAAGCATATTAGTCCCTTCCTCTTTCTCACAGTCAGCAATAGAAGCATTGACACTCAAGAACTACCTGAGACTGGGTAATTTAGAAAAAAGAGGTTTAATTGGCTCATGGTTCTATGGGCTATACAGGCTTCTGCTTTTGGAGAGGCCTCAGGAAACTTACAATCATGGCGGAAGGCAAAGGGGAAGCAAGCACCTTCTCCATGTGGCAGCAGGAGAGAGAGAGAGAGAGAGAGTGAAGGGAGAAGTGCCACACAGTTTTAAACCATCAAATCTCATGAGAACTCACTCACTAGCATGAGAACAGCAAGAGGAAAATCCATCCCCACGATGCAGTCATCTCCTACCAGGCCCCTCCTCCAATTCAACAAGAGATTTGGGCAGGGACACAAATCCAAACCATATCAGTAAGAAAAGTGTATTATACTATGATATATACAGTGTTGCATTGGCCAACCATGCTTCTTGGGACCAAGTGTAACTCTGGGGCTCTTCTGCTCCTCAGGATAATTGTCACCAGATGGCACACTGATCATGGAGCTCTATGGTGATGATTAACAAGCATTTATAAAGCATCTACTATGTGGGGTTGTGAGGATATAAAAGTTAATCGGCACTATTCTATAGAAAAGGTAAAAAGAAATGGAATACAATTTCAAAACAAGAATTGAAGAAAAACATTTTCCTAGATATGTCAGCCTTTTTCTATTGATTGTTGCCATCAGCAGTGGCTGCTTAGTTAATATAGTGTTTGGTTATATACACTTAGTATAATGTCTGGTTAGCTTTTACTCTTCCCTTTGCACAAGAATTTTCAGGTCCCATTGAAGCTACGAAGCTTGGAGAGCGGCGATGAAGGTAAACAGATTGTTTCAGGGGCTGGGGTTGCTCATCAATCAAACTGTTGCACTTAACTCCCTCCCTAACTGTTGACTTGTCATAGACCTACAGTCCTGTGAGAATGAGATTTTCTCTGCCCATCTGTTTCAAACTACAATAGGATATTCAAAGGCAAGAACACACATACACATACCCCCATATCACTTACTGCATTTATTTGTTTATGTTTCTGCCTCTCTTGAATAGACTCAATATCCTTCAAGACAAGGATTATATCTTAGTCGTCTTTGAATCCTCCCAACCTAGCATGGTGTGAGGTACGTAGTAGGTAATCAACACATTTTGCTAACCGATGTAAAGAAAGGAACATAGCTGAGTAGAAAGCATACCTGGATTTGAATTTCTGCCCTGCCACTTATATAACTATATGATCTTGAAAAGGTTATTTCATTTGCTGGCCTTCTCCTAATTTCACGTCATTATGGACAACTTAAATTCTGCTATAGCATAGACTGTAAATAACAGAATAATTCATAAAGCTCAGCTAAGGTACACTTTCTTCTTCCTCTTTGGTCAGGATCCAAGTCCTGTTCTTCTGGAGCTGTGATTCTGCCTCGCAGACTATTTTGCTTGTGACACCCTTTGTCACCCTGTTAAGGTCTGATAACAGTCACACCACCTTTGTCCCAACGAAAAGTACTTTTCAAAGCAGCCATTTTCTTGGAGGATAGTTATCTTTGAAACAATGCCAAGCATTTTTTGAATATTATACACTAGAACATAGCAACGGTCTAAAAACAGACACGGCGGGAGTTTCTCTACCCTTCCTCTTTCTCAGTGTCAGCAGCAGAGGCATCTGGAGGGCCATGTGCACATGCATGAGCAGACCTCTAGGAAGATGTAAAGGAGCTGGAAGACCTCCAGAAAAACTCTCTATCCAGAATGACAGAGAAGAGGACAATTCCTGCTATATAAAAGAGGGGATTTTTTTTCCTTTATTTTTTATTTTAAGTTCTGGGATACATTTGCAGAACATGTTGGTTTATTACATAGGTATACATGTGCTATGGTGGTTTGCTGCACCTGTCCACCTGTCATCTAGGTTTTAAGCCCTGCATGCATTATTTGTCCTAATGCTCTCCCTCCCATTGCCCCCCACCCCCTGACAGGCCCCGGTGTGTGATGTTCCCAAAAGAGGGGATTTTTAAGAGGAATAAAAAGAAACATTGTGTGTTACTACAAACAACCTAAAAGGTAAATAGGTTCAAAAAAAGAGGGAATTAGAGACATAAGTCCTGGGCACATATTGAGAACTAAAATGAAATTAAGAATGCTGGGGAATGTGTTTGTGGACAAGACCATCCCTGGTATTGATCTCCTTGTCTTTAAGTCTGTTGTCCCTTATTTGAATTAAAACTCAAGTCAAGGAGAGAAAGCAAGAGTTTTTGCTGTCCTTCTTTGGTATCAAAACCAGTCAAAGTTTTGGGTTTTCTGTTTTTTACTGACTTTGTGTTGCCAAAATTGTCTTAACCCAATTTTAAGCTTAAGATGGCTGAGGTCTCATGCTACCAAAGCCTAAAACTATTTATAAAGATTCAATATAAAAACTGAATTTGAATGGGTAAAAATTGTATTAATGTTTTCTCCCATTTTCTTTAAAAACCTGCAACTCCCCAACATCTCTTGGTTTTCTTCTTGTTCCTGTGGCTCCATCTAATTGTTAGATTTCTCTGCTGAGGTCTCGTGTCACCTCTGCTTGGAACCAGCTATACATGTGGTGATATGAGTAACAAAACACTTAGGCCTAGAAGGTTCAAGGCACAGGATAAAACTGCCTCAGAAACCCAGTAACGTCTCCCATGGTCTCTTTTGTTAATGTACTATGGGTTATTGTAGTAGGGGACAGTTTGGAAGGTGCTTAGAAAAGCAAGCTATGTATTGGAGCTTACAAAATCGTTATGAAAAGTCCCATTCTCTGTCATAAAATAGATTAATCGTCTTCAAACAGAGGTACATTAATACTTTCCAAGTGGCTGTAGAATATGGATAATTTTTAGGGAATCAATTTGCAGATCTCCACTTTCCTAAAATGGATTTCCTTGAAAATACATCTTTTGCTCGCCCACCCACCCATGTAGCAAGCAAGAGAGAGTCCCCCTTTAAACAACAGAGAGTCCCCCTTTTACAGTATCCAGCTACTATAAACCCTGAAGGGCTTCCCTGAATAAATACACATTTCTGCTGAAGATGAAGCTTAATGATAGAAATGCAGCACCTTGGCTCATGTTGGGATGTTCTGATTTCAGATGGACAGTGCAGGGTGGAGACAGAAACAAGGGCCATTTTTTATGACTTTGCCTCTTCATTTGCCAACAATTGTCAAAGAATGAACGCTTCTTGAGTGAGAGTCCAGAAAAAGTTAAGCAAAGACAGCATCAGCAGGGAATACTGAATACCAAACAATGCTTTGTCATGTATTGAAATGTAAATGATTCCTTATATTATTCTTAATATCTTTCAGATGTATCATTCACTAGAAAAGTATCTCAAACAGGCAAGGCAGAAAAGCTTAGTGAGAGTGATTCTTTTAAATGTGACTTGGAATGGTTTGCAGAACTCAAAATTTTTACAGGAAAATGGTCAAAGCCCATGGATGAAATTTTATGTGATTTCTTTCTGATTTAGAATTTTAATCTAGTAAGATAGTTATCAAATCATATCTAGAAATATTTATTCCTACTACTATTTATCCTTTTTTAATTTTATTCCATAAAACCTTTAATAATTTATATATCCTATCAACAAAGACTAAAATAACATACTGGCTGCCATACCAACTAATTTTTAGCTACATATATATACATAAATGGTGTATATATACGTATATATATACGTATATATGGTATATATATATACACACACAATATAAAATGTGTATATATATATATACACAATATAAAATGTGTATATATATATACACAATATAAAATGTGTATATATATATACACATTTTATATTGTGTATATGTGTATATATATATACACAATATATAATGTGTATATATATATATACACAGTATAAAATGTGTATATATATATACACAGTATAAAATGTGTATATATATATACACAGTATAAAATGTGTATATATATATACACAGTATAAAATGTGTATATATATACACAGTATAAAATGTGTATATATATACACAGTATAAAATGTGTATATATATACACAGTATAAAATGTGTATATATATACACAGTATAAAATGTGTATATATGTATACACAGTATAAAATGTGTATATATATACGCAATATAAAATGTGTATATATATACAATATAAAATATGTGTGTGTGTATATATATATATACACACACACAATTTTTCTTTCCTTAAATATATAGCCAAAGTGTGAACATGATGAGTACCACTAAAAAATACATCCAATAAGAATTGTGTCACATAGTTAAAATTTATTTTTCAAAATGTGTATTTTTTTTCTTTCTTTTTTTTTTTTGAGACGGAGTCTTGTTCTGTTGCCCAGACTGGAGTGCGGTGGCGCAATCTCAGTTCGCTGCAACCTCCGCCTCCCAGGTTCAAGTGATTATCCTGCCTCAGCCTCCTGCGTAGCTGGGATTACAGGTGTGTGCCATCATGCCCAGCTAATTTTTTTGTATTTTTAGTAGAGACAGGTTTCACCATGTTGGTCAGACTGGTCTCAAACTCCTGACCTCATGATCCACCCACCTCGGCCTCCCAAAGTGCAGGGATTCCAGGTGTGAGCCACCATTCTCGGCCCATATTAATTATTTTTAACAGCTGGGTTGATTTTTGTAGTTTTTGATCTAATATACTAATAATAGATATAAAGACAACTCTTTCCAGAGTATTTTCAATATCCAGAGCCTTTTAGCAAGAGGAAATGAAACAAATTCTAAAATTTCATATATATGTGTGTGTTATATGTATTTTATTTATATATGATATACATGTTGATATCTATATAAAGGGATTTTAAGAGACTTTACAATAATAAAAGCTATAATATGAGGAATCACATTTATGAAGGAAATTGGACTGAAAATATAACCTCAAGGAGTAAAAGGAAAGATGCAGCTATTCTGAACATTAAAGAAGATGTTGTTCGCTTAGTTGATGGTGGGCATGAAATCATTACAGCATTTAGAGTCCTTTGCATATATCTGAAGGAGAATTGAAGAGTTCTATTCTTAAATGGCAATATGTACACCATGCAGAAATCATATCCCTTAAAAATATTTATACTCACAGAAGACAAAAAATAGGTATCAATTTTAAACTGTGTGAATGAACACAGTTTTTCAAACATCTTTCAGATGGAAAGGGAGCAAAATACATACATACATACATACATACATACATACATACATACATACATACATACCATGAACAGGGAGGATCTCCTGTGGCCAATACAATCTCTCAGGTCCCTGTGAGGCTGACCAGGCCTAAGCTATCCAGCCCTCAGTGACTTTTATTTCCTGAGACTCTAAGGGAGTTGACTATTTAAAAAGATTTTAAAAAAAAAGACTGAAAGGATATGTGCTAGCATGTTGGTAGTGTATCAGTGTTTATTTCTTGATGGCTAAAATTAGGAATGATTTTTTAAACTTCCTTCATTTTTATATTATTTTTTTCTAACATGGCTATATATTACTTTAAAGTAAGAAAAAAGAAGTTATTTTTAAGGGTAGAAGCAGCAAACTCAGCAGCAAACCTCACCTCAGAGACACCAACTTCTCTATTCCTGTAAGGTCCCACTCTGCTGTAAACTGAGACTGGGATGCTGGGACAAGAGTTAGTGTCCCAGTAGCCATGGGTGGTGGGGGAATGTTATTTCCCTGTGAGTTTACACACAAAGGCAAGGGAGGCTCACCCTTGTATGGCAGTTCTTTCATCTGCTGTCCAAACTAATCTCAGAGAAAAAGAATATTTGTTTTAATGCTTGATACCTGGCAAGGAAGAAATCTTTTCTGGTTTGTTTTTGTAAAAAGGCCTTAAAAATCAAGCCAGTAACTGCCCTTTCTCCTTGTGCAGTAATTTTGAGTTAGGTTTCTAATTATAAAAATTGTCAAGTTCTAGGATATACTTTATAAAAGCATTTTTTAAACTGCTACTCTTGTTTAACAGTAATCTAATTTTTGAAAGTGATTTTTAAAAGACATTAGTAACATACTCCTAAATACATTTATGTTTTCAGTTAGATTTATCCTTTCTTTGCCTTGAAACCTTCATAGAGGCAGGGCATTAGCAAAAAGGTATGCATGTCCAGAGGCTCTAGGTAACTGCTCAAGACAATGGAGCAAATAGGGAAGCACAAATGGGCGGAAAGTGGCTAATCCATACACTTCACACTGATGACAGCAGAAAGAAGGGTGTGATGAACAAACAGAAGAATGTCCAGATCTTTACGTCTTCATCATCGTGTGGAGGCCTCAACATTTTGCAATGCATTTAGGGACCATGAAGAATTTACATCCTGGTTAAATGTGATTCTTCCCACCTTTCAGCCACTAGCCCCCTCCTCACTCCATAAGGTCATGCCTAATATGATAGTTACTACACACAGATCTTTTCTATCACATTGGATTATAAACCAATTGAGGACAGGATTGCTGACTGAATTGTCTTTGTATTTTGTACTACCTCGCCATCCTCATCCTCAACTGTCCCCAGTAAAAAAGAGCAGGGACTCCAAAGATGTAGGCCAGTGAATTAATGAACAAATAAAGAATATAATAGTCTTCAGTGGTTTAGAGAAAGCATGTAAACAAGGATACAGTAAAGGAAACAGAAATGTTGAAATTAGGCAAAATTAGTAATATAGATTTTGAAAATAATTAATATTAATCAGAGTTCAAAATGCTTTAATTTGAATCAGGTGAAAGTCTCTGTGTCCTAGGAGTCAAGCGAAAAGTAGGTAAGAATCTGAGACAGGGTTAGAAGGACCATTTACTTGTCTTGCCCTGTTAGCTGCCAGGTAGCTGGAGGAAAAGCACCTTCCTCTACCTTGGGAGCCAAGCACATACTGAGCGTTTCAGTAACCATTTTCCTCCTTCTAGCCTTTCTGGATAGACTGGACCTGAGGATAGATAGACACATGACATCTGATACTGGGGTGAAACATCAGTGACAGTGGCACCAAGAAGCTGCCCAGGAAAGACTGGGCTGTAATCCCTCAAGAAAAGAGTATAGAAACAAGCATTCTCTCAGCATATAGAAAAAAAATGAAACCAATATTCACTTCTGTAAAACATTGTACTTGATGAATCAAACCTGTTTCCAACCTGCATTATTTAGTAAAGGAGATAAGTGCATCATAAATAACAATAATCCATGGTAAAAGGTGATGGGCATTAGAGGATCAGAACTACCTCAAACAGGTAGAGGGAGTTTAGAGATACCTGTGGGGAAGATCTTAGCTAGGGATGCAAGCTTTCATCCTCTCCACGTGGAGCACAGCCCTTATGGTTAATGGCAGCATCTGACACCATTTATCTCTCCAGATACCTCTTATTAAGAGATTGACTGGTCAAAGTTCTAATTTCCTACTATTTCATATCTATCATGTTTTGTTTTTGCTGGTACACCTTGGCCTAAAATATCTTTTCCCTCATTCTCTGCCTTCCAAAATCCTACTTGTTCCACCATATACAGCTGAAATGCCATCTTACACATACTTCCCTGCAGCCTAACAGGAATTAAATATTGTTTTCTCTGAACTTCTACAGTATGTTGCTTTTACCTCTACCTGGTAGTTTTGTTTATTTTTTATTCATGTGTGCATTTGTCTCTCTAGTCAACTGTGACTTCCTTAAGCTTATTCTTCTTTCTGACCTCAACAGCATCTATCACTGTGCTCTGAACATGGAAATAGTGTTTCGTGGGAGGAAAAAGCCTGGGCTTTTCAGAGTGCAGTATACCTGGATTCTGAACCCAGCTGTGTTATTTCCCATTTGTTGATATTGGGCATTAGCGAAACTTTCTATGCCTTCATTTACCCATCTAGACAGGAACTAATAATAGCTTCTCAAGGGGAACGGATAAAGATTAGATATAATAAATGCAAAATGTCTGGCAGACAGTAGAGCATCACTAAATGGTAGCGATCACAACTTTTGCTACAATGATTATAATAAAGAGCTTGTTGAATAAACTTATAAAATGACCTAGTGTCCACAGTAACTAGCACAGTGCTGAGCACATGGGGGAAGCTGGTAAATACACCTTGACTCTGGCTTGTGGAGGGTGAAGTCTCTATTGTTAGTGACCTACCTTGAACTCTTTCTCAATATTGGCCAGAACTGCCAGTTCATTGCTAAGTTCTAAAGCCGTCATGACTGGATCTTCACTAGACAATGACAGGTAAGCCGGACTTGCCAGGCCTTTATAGGCATTAATCCTAGATCTGGAGTGGCTAAACGAGTCATGCTTCTGTTTCTGGTTGCAGTCATTGCACTTGCAGAAATAATCATGAGGCCGTTCAATCCTAGCACCCTTCCGCAGGAGGGTATGCACAATTTCATATTCCTGGCAGTGGGCAGCCAGAATGATTGGAGTCACATCATGGGAGAACCGTGTCCCATCTTCATCATAGGCATAAAAATCATCTTGCTGGAGTTCAGACTGGCTAGGGCTGGTTGCTAACCTCTTGCCTTCAGCAAAAGCCGGATGACTGAGAATTGCTTCCACAATCCGAACATAACCTTTACTAATAGCTAGAAGCAAAGCATCCCCAACTCGAGAGAGGTTTTCTTTCTTGAGAAGAAGTTCTGTAATTTCCAGATGCTCATTGGCCACTGCCAACTGTAGGGCATTCTGGCCCATGTAATCCACACAGTTAACGTTGAGTGAGTGGCATTCTTCTAACATCTTCCGCACCACTGGGATGTTACCATATTCAGCTGCATCCAAAAAGCGTTCCTCCTCTATAGATAGGCTTGTGGAGCGATCACTAAACATGTATGCTGGTCCTCGATTAGCTAACCTTCTCCCCTTCTCACGGAGAACTGTCTGCCGCCGGTGAGCCAGTCTGTTGTCAGATCCCCGGCTGCAATAAAACAGAAAGATTGTAAACAAATCACATTAAGAGCATTTTAGTGTGCCAAATGACTTGCCATTCATCTAATACAATCCTCAAGTATATTAGATGTTGTCTCATCATCTCTAGACCTACTATATTATAAAATGAAGATGCATTTATTTGTTAATGGATTCCAAGAACTTCACGTCTAAGAAAGCCAAGCACTTTGCAGATTTTAACATTCCCATTTGGGGTGGAGACTAGCAATTGCCATAATTACTCTGTGCCATTCAGATAGAAACTAATGTACTATATAGATGGTATAGACTTAGGAAAGATGTCTATATCCATACCCTCTTATCCATATGCAGTCACAATGTGATAGAGAATATAAGACTACATTTTAAGAAGTAGAGACAATAGCAAATCCACTCAAGTTAACAAATATTTATTGAGTCCCTCTGATGCCAGGTCTAGGAACTATATTCGGTCCAAGAAGGCCAATAGTGAAAAAACAAATAGATGCTTTTTCCTGCCTCTACAAGTCTTATAGACCAAAGAGAGAGATGGGCAATCAGCATACTGCTTTGTTATCAGCTGCTTAATTATAATGATAAGCCTATAATGGGGCATCTATCCCAGATTCTGAGAGAAAATGACAAGCTGAAAATGGAAGGATAAGTAGAAGTCAGGTGAGAGTGTACTTCAGGAGGGTGAGACAGGGGTTAGGTATAGGTAGAAAGTTTTCTCTAGCAGAGGTATCGGCTAGATGTTAGAGTATAGGTTTCATTAATATGGGCAATAAATGCTTGAACTCTGCTGTCCTAAAAATCACTGCAGACTGGAGAAAATTATAATCAAGTTGTCAGGTAGGAAAAAACACTTCTATGGTGCAGGCAGTGGTCAGAGCAGTGGCCAGCCTTCAACGTAGTCCTTCAATCTGTGATAAGAAGGGAAAGTGAGCCGGGTGCTATGGCTCACGCCTATAATCCCAGGACCTTGCAGGGCCAAGGTGGGCGAATCACTTGCCCAGGAAGTCAAGACTAGCTTGGACAACATGGCAAAACCCCATCTCTGCAAATAATAGAAAAATTAGTGGTGCATGGTGGCACATGCCTGTAGTCCCAGCTACTCAGGAGGCTGAGGTAGAGTATCAATTGAACCCAGGAGATCAAGGCTGCAGAGAGCCATGACTATGCCTCTGCACTCCAGCCTGGGTGATAGAACAAGATCCTATATCAAAGAAAAAAAAAAAAAAAAAGGAAGGGGGCTGTGATTCTTCCTCTGATCAAAATGCTATAATGAAGATTTTTTCGTTATTAATTCATAACTTCGTGTCTTAAGGTCTTTTGAGCTTCAAGGGATCTCATTACAATTAGAGGTTCAACTCTTACCAGTATCACTAACTGAACCCAAAGAAGGCATGTTTTTGCAGAACTGGAACAGGGCCAGGTTATAGGGGAGGCTAAAGAGGCATCCCTCTTTAAAAACGGTCACAAACTTCCCAGTATAAAGAGGACAATAAAAAGATCCAAGGGCCTCATAAGCTATCTTTCCCTCCAATATGTTCAGGTCTGGAGAATCTTAGTTGCTTTCCCTACTGGCCTTTATCAGTCTTGATTCCACATCTCCAGACAGTGCTGTCTGTGGCAGTGTGATGGACAGGAATAGAAAGGAAGATAGTAAAGTTTCAGCAACTCACAAACAGATTTTGCTTCTTGGAGGAGCTTGAAGAGTATACCACCATATTGACAAATATTTTTCATAGATTTTCATTCAACAGTGATTCCTTTAACTATCCAAGTCCTATTCAAAATCAACCAAACTGATGTTTTTTTCAAAGAGACAACTTTGTAAGTTTCGAAAATGACATGAAGGGCCGATATCAAGTTATACAACCTAATAATTTCTAAAATGGGTCATTAGATAATACATATGCAACTTTTATTATAAGAGAATAGCATCTGTAACTATTTTGTCCCATAGCTATTACTTTGTTTTTAATTCCATTTTTAATTTTAGTAAAGTTATACATGTGCATATTTTAGTTTATTCTATGTCTTGATCTCCAGAGGTGATACATTTCAATTTAACTATTTTAGCTGGTTATTTTATAATTTTAAATGTTATAACCACATAGCTTTGGTTATATTGTTACTTCTTGATTTTTCAGGTTTGGCATTACCTATGGACTTCCCATTACACCATACCTTCACGTATCTCTCTCTCTCTCTAACACACACACACACACACACACACACACACACACACACACACACAGACCCCCTTCATGGTCCCTTATCATTCCAGAATTGTTATATCATGACTTTTTTTTAGATAACTATTTACTGTTTAAAACATGACAATGCAAGTGCTAATCATAGCTAAGTGGTATACTATAGTGTCTTTTCAGGTACAGCTTCCCTATAACCTTAAACCTAATAGATAAAAATTCTCTTCATTTTCTCAGTGCTCTATATACATATGACTAATTCAATCAAACTCTCTTCTCCATCAATATAAGTCTTATTTTAATACATTCTACATATTAAGTGGGTATTTTTTTTTTTCAATTTTGGAAAATCTAGACAGCAGTTGCTGTCTAGACTTGATGCATGTATGTTCTCTTTGAATCTTCCTTTGGTATCATTCCAAGGATTCTCTTCACTTTGCTTTTGTATTGGGGTCCTTGTTTTCTGTATCCCAGATCTTCTTTTATCTGAGTTGACTTCTTTGTTCTAGTACAGCACATCTTCCAACAGCTGTCTAATAAAGCATGCATAGGTGAATTTTTAAAGAACGTGTACATCTAAAACTGACTTTGTCCTACCTCTAAACTTAACTGATAGTTTGGCTGGGTAGAGAATTCAAGGTTGAGGATAATTTTGGAGGCCTTGCTCTAATAAATTATAGTTTTGTGGCTACTATTGAGAAGCATGATGCAATTTTGATTCTGGATATTGTCTTTGTCTCTGGTGTCCTAAAATTACATGGTTGTTTATTGAAGGGAGTCTCTTCTCCACAGTGCTGCCCATTTAATCTGGAATAAAAAGTGTCCTTTTCTTAGAAATAGTCTTGCCCTATTTATCTGATCATTTTGTTTTCTGCTTTCAATGTACCATTTCTGGAACTCCTTCTTTTTGATGTTGGACATCCTGTAATTGTCCTTTAATTTTCTTATCTTTTCTATTTCCAATTATTTATGTTCAATATTATTTATTATATTCTGGGAAATTTCTTCAACTTTAGATTATATCTATGAAAATTGCTATTATATTTTTAATTTTCAAAAACACCCTTTATTTTCAAATGTTACTTTTTATAAGACTTTTCTGCTTTTAAAGGCACAAACATTTTTTCTTCTCTCTCTGGGGATGTTAAAGATTGCACACATCACAATTTAGAGAACTTACTCCTGAGTTGCTTTTTTATGTTTGTTTGCTTTGGTCTCTGTATTTCATAGTAGAATTTTTCCTCGTATAGCTAGTGATTCTTAGTAGATATTCTTTGCTTCTTTTTAAAGAAATATTCCTTATAATGTCTTTTCTAAGAGAGTATAATTTCCCCTTATAAAAACTAGAGTGAGCCTAATGTTGGTTTTGGCAAAAGGTGATGTCTGAGTTACGGTGAGTTTCTAGAAGAATCACATTATTTCTGAGTTAACAAGATGGATGAGGTAGAAGAGACAGGAGATCATCAAGGTTTGTTACATGAGGAAACATCATCTTCCTACTGAAATTCTTAACCCTCTTCCCTTCTCTCTGTCACTTTTCTGGCTTCTACTAACCTCTTTAGGCTTTCACTTCCTCTCTCTTATCTTCTGTATTTATTGCTTTGCGTAGTTTCTATTGTAGACAAGAGGAAGTTCAAAGATTAGGGGGAGAGACAGTATCTTCCAAACATGAAGAATGCTTTGAAAAAGAAAAACTGTAAATTTAAGGGAGAAACAAAATAGGATCAGGGATCTATAAAAGTAAGATGAAAGTACTGGGAGTGAGAACTTGCAAGATAAGTTCTCATGTAACTAAAAAAATGACACAAAACTGACACAAAATAGTAACATATCAAAACATCAAGAACAAGCTCCATTTTTTTTCATCCATTAAAATGGGAGAAATAATTATTCTGACCTATCTCAAAGGACTACTTTCAGAGGTAATTGAAATTATGAATGTGGAAAGCATTTTAGGTTGGATTTAAATTTTTTTACAGCCACATCCATAATAATAAGCACATATATAGCACTTATAAAAATAAGAAGGACACTTGGACTTCATCATTTTTCAGCTGTTATGCAATAAGAAGACCCATGAAAAAAAGGCAAGGACTGAGATGGTAATTGATGTAAGTTGTTTTGTCTTTTTCTTTTTTTTTTGAGACAGGATCTCGTTCTGTTGCCTTACTATAGCCGCAACCTCCCAGACTCAATCAATCCTCCTTCCTCAGCCTCCTGTGTAGCTGGGACTAAAGGCACATGCTACCTCACCCAGTTAATTTTTGTATTTTTTTTATAGATGGGGTCTCGCCATATTGCCCAGGCTGGTATCAAACTCGTGGGCTCAAGTATCCTCCCACCTCAGCCTCCCAACATACTGGGATTACAGGTATGAGCCACCACACCTGCCCTTTGTTTGTCTTTTTAAAGAAAGAAAAATAAGAATTAGCAACTTTACTTGTATCTCAATTTTTAATCTGGTTTACAAAATTTTATTTTTTCATCCAATACTAAGTTTACATTGAGCTAAATAGAATGTCTGAGTTGTGACATCTTTTATTCTAAGATTTTAAAATAACAATCTATGACTTTCCTGCCCATTTATTTGAAAAATGACAAGTTCTATCTTGGCAAGCCACTAATCATAATGATGTATCTTATTTCCTTCTAAATTACTGTGGCTTTTGTACCTATAACTTCTTGAAGGAACAGCAAAGATATTTCCGTAGAATTTTTTTTTTCAGTTTTAAAGCATCTTCTGTCTTAGTTGTTGTGACCACACATATTAATCATATGCAATGATATAATTTTTAGATACATTTTTATAAAAAGGCCTAGATTATCATAATCTGTTTAGCACTCTGTCAACTATATATGAGTCTGTGACAGAATTACAACTTGGTCATTCTGTATCTGAAAAGTCAGAATGTATCTGATACATTTTTGTTTGTTTTTGATTACTTTAGGAATATTACAACAGCAGGCACAATGAATTTTTATTGTTTTAGGCATATTACAAATGCAGGCCCAATGGATTCAGCACCCCTTGCATGAGTAGTAAGACACAGTAAAAGCTGCTTGTATGTTGTTGACAGAACAAAACGCATGCTTTGCTGCTCTCCTTATCTTTCTTAACTGCAGCCTGGAGAAGCAATAAAAGATTCTACTTGTATTTTTATGTCACAAGTGGTGTTGCTTACTCCCTGCCTCTCCTATGCAAAAGCAAAATGTGTAAAACAACTTTTTAAGTAACAGATATTTGAAAGCAATTCAGGAAAGATACTAGATGTTACTAGATTATATTACAAACCTCTCTGCAAATGGTTTTTATAAAACTATGTTGTAGAATTTTACATTAATAGCAAATGAAACCTAGCAAAATCATCTGTTAAAAAGAGGAACAACTCAGCCCATAGCTCCATAGCACTACTTCAACAAAAGACATTTTCATTTCAGCTAAAGGGCACACTTTTCAAATTCGGCTCTTCTATTTATGAAAATATTTATTAAGAAATTTTCTTCACCCATTTAGCCACATTTAGCATGGTTAAAAGATTAGTAACCTACATTTTCATGTCTGTATTTTTACAAGGTGTTTATCACAACATATAAATACTGGTTCTAAGAAAGAGTAATTAGCCACCACCCCTATGGCACTCAAATGTAGATTAGGTCATGAAAACCATGTTTTTACATACCTCATTTTCCTGGTCCTTTTAGTATTTGTTGCCCCAGATAGTGAGAGATGGAATAATCCATCTCTATTGAAAATGCCAGCAATGCAAATTAGCTTCTGAGTAGAGTGGATTGCATGCTAGAGTCCACAGCATGTGTAGTAATTCTCTCTACTTCCTGTTCAACTATGATACACTTTTATAACATGGAACTGCTTTTATACAAACTAAGCTCCATATTAAGTTCTTAGCTTAACTTTGACTTTGTGCTTTAAAAATCCTTACAAATATTTTAAAGCGCAATTCTATTACAGCAGAAGTTCTAAAATTGTAAATGGAATGTAACTATTCCAGGCAGTGTAGTCAGCCGTAAGCGTAATGTAGATTCATCCTAGGAAAGTAGAAATAAAAGAAATTCCAGAATTTGCATTTTATTACATGCACAATTATCAATGGGAATAATTAGACTCAGATATTTAGAGATTAACATTATACACAACTAGCAAGTTTGCAAACCACTTTAGGGAGATGAATGAAAGAAGTCATTTGTTCTCATTTTACAACACTGACACTGTTTTTGCCCTGACTACTTAATCTCTGGGCACATACCCTATGCTCTTCCTCTGGGGTTGAGGAAGCAATAAACAATTAAAGTGGTTTTCCTTAGTCCTATGAGAGCAATGATGATTTTGCCTTATTCACACTGAATTCACCCCTCTTTGCAGAGGGACACATTGTAAACTCTCAGTACATAACTGGAATACATTAATCCCTCCCGTTAAAGGAATAAAGTTTAGAGCTTGTTTGTTCCCTATTAACCTGACTGCAAACGACTACAATGTACAACCCTACACAGAAAAAAAGGAACAAAATATAAAGGTTGAGCCACAGTGTGTTCTAGTGTAAATATAATATTTTATATTCATTTCAAATAAGTAGTGAGCTCAACAGGGGACAAAGGAAGTTGAAAGCCGTGTTTTTAATGGCATCCTTGTGACTTGTTCATGATCCAGAAGCAGAGATTTTCTTGACTTTAAAGATGGAACTAGGGCCAGGTGCGGTGGCTCACGCCTGTAATCCCAGCACTCTGGGAGGCCTAGGTGGGTGGATCACCTGAGGTCAGGAGTTTGAGATCGGCCTGGCCAACATGGTGAAACCCTGTCTCTACTAAAAAATACAAAAATTAGCCAGGCATGGTGGTGGGGGCCTGTAATCCCAGCTACTTGGGAGGCTGAGGCGAGAGAATAGCTTGAATCCAGGAGGCAGAGGTTGCAGTGAGCCGAGATCACGCCACTGCACTCCAGCCTGGGCGACAGAGCAAGACTCAGTCTCAAAAAACAAAACAAATAAAAATAAAAATAAAGGCAAAACTAATATTTTCTCACCCTGTTCTCTCTCCCTCTTGTTTAGAGGGTGAGAGAGTGAGCACCCATCTTCACAGTGAACTCCCAAATCCCTTGAACTTCCAGATAGTCTTCTAGATAGCAATTCTTCATTTTGATTCAATTAGTTTCAATTCTCCTCACGAACTCTTCTCATTTCTTCAAATACTAACTTTCTGTTTGATCAGTCACACTACATCACACCCTGCCTTAGTATTCTATGAATGAAATGGTAAGAGCCTGAGCTACTTGTCACTTTCAGTTGGGAGCCAGCAAAAGTGTGACTGAAAAATCTCAGGTGCATGTAACAAATTTTTGGTCATCATTTCATTTGTATCATCATTTCATTTGTATCATCAATTGACATCTTGTTTGTGTAAATTAGAACTCAAACTGTGTGAGAGAATGAAATTGTGAGTAAATAACGGAAGTTATAGGAACTTGCCTTTTTATAAAACAACATCTGACATGTCATTGTTCCCTTTTAGTTTCTCCTTGGTGGTTTAATTTATTTCATGTGTCATGTCTTCCTACTTTGAAATGCTCTTTGGAAGAGTTCTGGGGCCAGACATTTATGGTGAGAATAATTAAGGACAAGTTGAGGGAAACTGAGAACTGAGTCCTTGGGGATCTGAACTTGAGAAAACTTTGGGGAACTTCGCAAAATATTTGGAAGAACAAAGCTTTAAGAACAAAATAGAGTACTCTTGGGAATATTAAAAAGTTTCTTTGTAATACCAGCAAACTATATCCAAATTATCTCATCAAAGAAGAGGTTTAAATTCTTTGCTTCTATTACCAATGACTGCCATAATCATGTGTATTACACAAGCACATTTTCCAATTCCTCTGCATAAGATAGATTCTGGGGAGGAAAAAACACACTTCAATTATAAGACAATCTGAAAAAACTTAATGAAGGAACTCTAGGAGTATGTGTGCAGAAGTTAGGGAAATCCAACATGGCACCATGAAGTGCCCACATCTAGGACAATGTAGGCTTAAGTCTGAAGGGGCATAATGAGGGAACAGTTACCAGAACAGGATAACCATAAGACAAGGGACACCTGACAGTGGCCCTGACCTTTTATGAAGGGTGACAGCCCACCATCAAGGAGAGAGCCAAGGGAACTGATACTCTGACCTCACTCTCCTGCCCTCTGATGTCCCACAAGTGCCTCTGATGGGCTGAACTCAGACTAGTGCTGGGGGACAAAGAAGCCCATTGATGCAGTCCACACAGGTCTGCATTGGTGCTATTCCACAGTCAGTGAACAGTATGCAAAACATGAAGAGTAGGCCAGGATGACCAAGCCAACAACACCCAGCATATGCTCTAGATACAATAATTTGACTTTGCCATAATTAACTCCTTGCTCGGGTGATGGGTGCACTAAAATCTCGGAAATCATCACTAAAGAACTTATACATGTAAAACACAACCTGTTCCCAAAAAAACCTACTGAAATAATTTTTAAAAGATTTTAAACTACTAGAGAGAGAGAGAGGAAAAGAAATTACTGATGAAAACATATGCACCAAAAAAATGGTAAGTGTATTTTTGATGATGGGTAACCACGGCATCATCAGTTCACGCCTTTCTGAGCTTATTTTTCCCTTCTTTAAGCTGTCAAGAAAGACACCCACATTCAAGTTCATGCAGTCCATTATCTTAAAAAATTAACTTGTAACTAAGATTCATCCATAGAAATTCTAAGTTGATGTTCATATGAGGCTTAGGATGAACAACTCTTATGTGGAGGGGGAGAACAAGGATAATCTGATGTCATAGAAACATTCAAAATGTGAAGAGCACAAGCTGAAGCTGCTGATTCCCAGAGATAATGGTGCTGAAGAAAGACTTTGATAATAGGTCTGGAACATGCTCTAACTCTCCACAATGGGGGATAGCTCCAAATGCTCACAGTACAGGTTTCACTCTATATGTGACTGCTATGTGTAACAGAGTACATGGATAGGGAAATTGGCAGGACCATGCAGCACATAGCTTTCATTTATTGAAACCAAAATTGTGAAATGCTTTTCTTTGCTGATGTGATATGATTTCAGACATCATTATCAACCCTCACACCCACCACCACCACCGGGATCGTAACAGTTCATTCATTCATTCATTCATCAATTCAAATATTTACTGAACCTCAGCTTCAACATGTTCTAGGCACTGTGCTAGGCACATTGGGGGTACAGCCACAGAAAAATAAGGGTATGGCAGAAAAAAAGAGAATAAGCAAAAGACTACAGGGTGATGAATGTTACCAAAAAGGAAGTAGTGTGGCATATAAATGATTAGCGAACAGTTTTCAACCCAATCTGAAGGTCAGGGAAAGCCTTCTGAGGACATGTCACTTAGCCTAAGAATGAAGGAGAGTTAGCTGAGAGGAGGGAAGAGGAGACTCAGCCCGCAGGCAGAGAAAATCACAGTTGTTTAAGTCAGCAGCCCAGAAAAAACCCTGAAACATGTTTATTATGGCTGGAACACATAAGAGTTCCCATCCCCAACAGGATTTCTGGTTCCTGGCTCAATTTAACTAAAGGTCTAGCACTCAGGTTTAGAAGCTAAACATCCATTGATATTCACAGTTTAGCACTTAGCACTTCTACTGTAGGGCAGAAAGGTAAACATTAAGGTAATTCCTTAACAACTCAGGATTCCAATTTAGGAGATTCAAGCTTCAAAACTCGGAGACTGGAGTGCTGCCCCAAAAGGTTTTGTTCTGAAGGGTTTGGAGCTTATATAATTCAAGATCTCAAGTTGAGAATAACTGTGGACAAATTGAGGGAAACTGAGAACTGAGTCCTTAGGGACCTAAACTTGAGAAAACTTTGGGGGAACCTTGCAAAATATTTGGAAGAACAAAGCTTTAAAGAAAGACATGCTGAGTTGGGAATCCTTACTCTGTCAGTTACTACCTGTGTCATCCCTCTGAGCCTCGGATTCCTTAACTGTAAAAATGGAAAGGGAACAGCATCAAGGATAGCAGTTACCTGTTAGGGTTACTATGAAATTGGTGATTTGTGGAATTCTGCTTAAGGTAATTCAATGCCTCATCTGTCATGGACTTTAAATCCTTCTTAATCATAATTATTCAAGACTTTCCAGTTTGAAGATGTGCTGCTTAATAAAGGAGATAGAAACTAAGAAATCATTAAATGGCTTCTCTTCCTTTAATGCCAGCTGTTACATCTGCACCATGTGTCCAAAGAACACAGTTTGACCTCGTTTGTTTTTTTTGTTCGTTTGTTTTTTCCCTTGCTGTGATGTCAACATGGCCAAATGGGCATTATGTTTTTAATCTTCGGAATACTCTGTGCTTTGTTTTGCTGCCACTATTCTTGAAGTGTATTCTATTCTTATACCTTCATCTGTGACTATATATTTCCCTTTCCCTTCTTACCTATATTCTTTAAACCTGAACTTATCATTGAATTCCTGTGCCAAGCACAGAGCCAGACACAAAATGTTTTATGCATCTACAAATGAATAAAAAAGCAACATGAAAAGAAAAACGAATGGAGAGCACCCTAGTTTGTCACAGTTTTTAGGAGTTTCTCAAATTATTTTACTCCATTTCAAGAAACTTTTTAAAAATTAGAATTTCACAGTATTTTAAACAAATTTTTACTTGTCATAAAGTGAAATGTACTTATCCACCCTAAGTAAAAATGAAATATAGCAATTTGATGGAGTTTGATTTTGAGTATACTAATCATGTCAAGTAAATTATAAGTTTACTATATATTTAGCCCTGTTTCTCTAGCTTTATCAATAAAAATATTATATAAACTTGTAGGTACACATATATTAAATTAATTTCACTAAGGCTAGGAGGATGGAAATTGATATTTATTAAAAGTTTTTACTATGACCAAATAACTTTATAGGTGTTATTTTATTTAATTTTCACGGCATTTGGTGAGGTTGGCTTTGTTATTTCACTACATGAGGAAATGTTTGGAGATCACTCCTGAACAGGCATGGCATATATAAGGAAAAATGTTTGGGGGCTTTTGTTTTCTGAATTTCTTTTAAAATGCAGCTGGGAAAAAAAAAAAAAAGCAGAGTTTCAATATCCCCTCCCCAAAAACTGTGAAAATTTGTGGATTTCAACAATACCTAGGATTAGTTATGAACTGATTGATACATAGAAACTTCCCTCTTAAGTTCATGCTAGCAATGCATGGTAAGGCAAGACTGTAAACCTAGGTTTGCAGATGTCCTATTTCATTTCTTAAATCTTATTTTTTATTATTGTGACGCACACATGCTGAAAAGAACTACAATTTTAAGATTAATAACAAAATTAACACCATTTTCCTACCCATCCCCACTTAAGAATGTGATCGCTGATCATTTTAAAGACCTCTGTGTGCCTATTTAAATTACTATCTTCCCCTGAACCCCAACGACCAACCATTATCTGGTTTTTATGTTAAGCACTCTCTTATTTTTTATAGCTTTTCCATCTTTGCATGCCCTAAACAATACAAATTAGCTCAAAAAAAGTAAGTACTTAGCACAAACTTGGTAGAATAAGGAAGGGAAATACTGCCACTGCTATATTCTTAGAGGAAGGCTCCTAACATGAGATAAGCAGAGCAGAACCTGTGGTTCATTATCTGGCTCCAGCTTCCCTGAGAGTTTGCAAGAGCCCCTGTAGGTTGCTCAGGGGGTGACCATGAATTTCATCCTGGGAACGCAGGGTTCCTCAGAGCTGCAGCAGCTAGCCGAGTAGCCAGCAGGGCATCTGGCCATGCATCTGCTGCTGTCTACTCTCTTCTCTGCTATAAAAGAGCAGGTCAGAACACATTACCTCAGAGGCGAGAGAGGGCTCACCCTCACTGAACTCTTCCACATTGCCTTTAGGAGTAAGGCTGTCAATCAAGGTTTTTTGCCATGTTTCCCCTTTTGCCCACATTTTTTTAAAACCAATTTTACAAAAGCAAAACACTGAACTACGCTGAAAGCTACATAATATGAACAGCCAGTAGCTGGAAAGCTACCCATTATGTTGAACCAGAATGGAATTTGTCTATATCCATTTGCAGCTGTATTCAGTTTTCAGAGATGTGATCAATGTGCCTCTACTTACAATAGTATGTTCAAGCTATAAAAGTTATATGACTTCCCTAAAGGAAGGTGAAAAGGAAAACAAATTCAGTCAAACTAGTGAAGCCATTGCTTTGGTACACCATAAAGCAAATCTAGTTGACTAAAGCCCTGGTGTTTTGGTATAACATGAAAGAAAAGTTCTATTTTCCACGGACAAATTATTCTTATCTTACCCTTTTTCTCTTATGCTAAGAATGCTTGTTTTCAGTCTTTACAGATATAACTCAAACCATTTTTACTAATTGTCTTTTTATTCCTATGCTAGTAAATTTAAATTTGAGAACTCTGCCGAAGGCTCATGTTTCCTCTATGTATCCTACTCGGTGATTCTTTATTACTGCCATTAGTCACTGACTGAATGCTAGTTATTTAAGTGTTTGCATGCATGGAATACATTTCTGCATTACTTCCACTTTACCCACCAAAGTAATAATGATAGAACCACAAGTTTTAAGTTCCAGAAGGGTATTTAAAATTGTTTCAACCTTATCACTTTTCAAGTAACTGCTTTAAGTTTTTCTAGAGGAGGGAATATATAAAAATTATTAATTATATAGTTAATTTCTACCTGAAGAAACCAAGATACAAACTAACTTGCCCAATGTTAAACAGCTACTTAGAACCCTCAGCTGTTAGATCATTTTTATTCCAAAATGCTATTACCTAAAAACAAATGTTATTGAAAGGAAATTAGTTTCTGGTCCTGTTAAGGAGAATTTTCTTATGATGAAGATCCAGTTCAATAAACAACATATTGTTCTCTAGATATTCCCATAGCTGGTGTTAAATTTGTTCCCATTTATACTGTGGCCAATGAAAGCAGAAGAATTGGCCTAGATTAAAAAGTTGTTTGAGTCAATAATCCTCAGATCTTAGCTGGAGCTCAGAGTTGTGATATACTGGTATATCTGCTCATGAGATGTTATTGTGGAACTTAATCAATAGAATCAGCCAGATTTTTGCCACCATTTCAGTTGAAAGAAAAGCATCATTTGCCCTCTTTGGTCTTCTGTTTCCTTGCTTTTAAAGTAATCTCTCTTCTGCACAGCAAAGGACACAATCAATAAAGTAAAGAGACAACCCACAGAATCGAAGAAAATATTTGCAAACTGCCCCTCTGACAAGGGATTAATAACCAGAATATATAAAGTGCTCAAACAACCATACAGGAAAAAAAATTAATAATCTAATCGAAAAATAGGCATAATATTTGAATAGAAATTTCTCAAAAGAAGACATACAAATTGCAAACAGAAATATGAAAAGATGCTTAACATCATTGATCATCAGAGAAATGCCAATCAATACTACAATGAGATGTCATCTCACCCAAGTTAAAATGAATTATATCCAAAAGACAGGCAATAACAAATGCTGGTGAGGATGTGAAGAAAAGGAAACCCTTGTACAGTGTTGGTGGGAATGTAAATTGGTACTATGAAGAATAGTTTGGAGGTTCCTCAAAAAACTAAAAATTGAGCTGCCATATGATCCAGCAATCCCACTGCTGGGTATATACACAAAAGAAAGGAAATCAGTATATCAAAGAGGTAGCTGCACTCCCATGTTTGTTGCAGCACTGCTTACAACAGCTAAGATTTGGAAGCAACCTAAGTGTCCATCAACAAATGAATGGATGAAGAAAATGTGGTACTTATACGCAATGGAGGACTAGTTAGCCATAAAAAAGAATGAGATCCAGGCATTTGCAACAACATGGATGGAAGTGGAGATCATTATGTTAAGTGAAATAAGCCAGGTACGGAAAGACAAGCTTTGCATGTTCTCACTCATCTGTGGGAGCTAAAAATTAAAACAATTGAATTCATGGACACAGAGAGTAGAAGAATGGTTACCAGAGGCTGGGAAGGGTACTGAAGGTTTGGGACGAGTTGGGGATGGTTAAGGGTACAAAAAAGAAGAAAGAATGAGTAAGACCTACTATTTGATAGCACAATAGGTTAACCATAGTCAATAATGACTTAACTGTGTATTTAAAAATAATGTGAAGAATGTAATTGAATTGTTTGTAACTCAAAGGATAAATGCTTGAGGGGATGGATACCCCATTTTCCATGATGTGCTTATTTCACACTGCATGTCTGTATCAAAACATCTCCTGTACCCCATAAATATATACACCTATGTACCCACAAAAATTTTTAAAAATAATTTTAAAAAATCAAATAAGATAAATAAAGCAACCTCTAAGGACCCTTCCAGTTAATACAACATTTAATTCTATTTCTCTGTTTTAACTAAGTGGAATATTTACCTTCATTTTCCACCGCTTTGAGGACACAGACTAAGCTAAATAACCTAGTCAGGTGAGAACTTGGTGAAAACATGCTACAAAATGATGTTCTCTCCAATATCTGCTTCACCCATCTTGATCCTTATGTCAGCTAGTGGCACCCCAATTTTCTAGTTACTCAGAAAAAAAAATCATGGTGGTGTCCTGGGCTTCTTTCTTTCGTACTCCAAAACCATTTAATCAGGAAATCCTGCTTACTTTTCAAAATTCTGAGCTGTATCTCAAAATGTATCCAGAATCTGAACACCTCTTGCTACCACCCCAGTCCAGGCATCTAGATACTAGATCTAGATTCGATGACCTGAAAGGCCTGGCACAATCTGATCTTTACTGAGTGAGGGGGTCAGAGAGTTAAGATAATCAGTACAATCTCACCTGTACTAATTCTCTTAACTCTCTGACTCCCTCACTCAGTCTCTCTGCTCCAGCCACACTGATCTGCTTGCTCATCCTCTATGTACCAAGCTTGCTTGTGCTTTTGCACTTTTCTCTACCCTCTGCCTGGAAGCTCTTATCCTGATACCTGAGCACACACTCTCAATTCATTCAGGTATTTCTTTACTGAGAAGTCACTGATATGGTTTGGATTTGTGTCCCTGCCCAAATCTCATGTTGAATTGTAATCCCCAGTGTTGAGGAAGGGGCCTGGTGGGAGGTGATTAGATCATGGGGGTGGATTTTCCCCTTTCCATTCTCGTGACAGTGAGTGAGTTCTCATGAGATCTGGTTGTTTATAAGTGTGTCTCACCTCCCGCTTCACCCTCTTCCTCCTTCTCTGGCTATGTAAGAAGTTCCTGCTTCCCCTTCGCCTTCCACCACAATTGTAAGTTTCCTGAGGCCTCCTCAGCCGTGTTCCCTGTACAGCCTGCAGAACCTCTTTTCTTTATAAATTACTGAGTTTCAGGTAGTTCTTTAGAGCAATGTGAGAACAAACTAATATAGAAAATTGGTAACAGAGAAGTACAGCATTGCTATAAAGATACCTAAAACTGTAAAAGCAACTTTGGAACCAGGTAATGGACAGAGGTTGGAACAGTTTGGAGGGCTCAGAAGAAGACAGGAAGATAAGGAAAGGTTTAGAGCTTCCTAGAGACTTGTTAAATTGTTTTGGAGGGCTCAGAAGAAGACACGAAGATGAGGAAAGATTTGGAACCTCCTAGAGACTTGTTAAATTGTTGTGACCAAAATGCTGATAGTGATATGGACAATGAAGTCCAGGCTAAGGTGGTCTCAGATGGAGATGAGGAACTTATTGAGAACTGGAGTAAAGGTCACTTTTGCTATGCGTTTGCAAAGAGGTTGGAGTCACTGTGCCCTTGCCTTAGGGGACTGTGGAACTTTGACCTTCAGAGTGATGGATTTAGGGTATCTAATGGAAGAAATTTCTAAGCAGCAAAGCATTCAAGATGTAGCCTGGCAGCTTCTAACAGCATTTGCTCATATGCATGAGCAAAGGAATGATCTGAAACTGGAACTTATATTTAAAAGGGAGGCAGAGCATAAAACTTTGGAAAATTTGCAGCCTGACCCTGTGTAGAAAAGAAAAACCCATTTTTCAGGAGAGGAATTAAAGCTGGCTGCAGAAATTTGCATAAGTAAAGAGGAGCCAAATGTTAACAGCCAAGACAATGGGGAAAATGCTTCAAAGGCATTTCAGAGACCTTTGTGACAGCCCCTTCTATCGCAAGCCTGGAGGACTAGGAGGGAAGAATGGTTTCGTAGGCCAGGCCCAGGACCCAGCTTCCTTGTGCAACCTCAGGACACTGCTCCCTGTTTCCCAGCCACTCCAGCTCCAGCTGCGGCTGAAAGGGTCCCAGATATGTCTTAGGATGCTGCTCCAGAGGGTGCAAACCATAAGCCTTGGTGGCTTCCATGTCATGATAAGCCTGCAGGTGCACAGAGGCAAGAGTTGAGGCTTGGAAGCCTTTGTCTAGATTTCAGAGGATGTATGGAAACTATTCCATGTCCAGGCAGAAGTCTACTGCAGGGGCTGCGCCCTCATGAGGAACCTCTACTAGGACAGTGCTAAGGGGAAATGTGAGGTTGGAGCCCCCACACTGAGTCCCTACTGCAGCACTGCCTAGTGGAGCTGTGAGAAGACAGCCACTATCCTCCAGACCCCAGAATGGTAGATCCATTGACAGTTTGCACTGTGAACCTGGAAAAGCCACAGGCACTCAACACCAGCCCTTGAGAGCAGCCATGGGAACTAAACTTTGCTGAGCCATAGGGGCAAAGCTGCCCAAGGCCTTGGGAGCTCACCCCATGCATCAGTATGGTCTAAATGTAAGACATGGAGTTAAATGAGATTATTTTGGATCTTTAAGATTTAATAACTGCCCCGCTGGGTTTCAGACTTGTACAGGGCCTGTAACTCCTCCCTTTGGCTGATTTCTCCCCTTTGGAACAGATGTATTTACCCAATGCCTGTACCCCTGTCGCATCTTGGAAGTAAGTAACTTTTTGTTTACTTTACAGGCTCATAGGCTGAAGGGACTTGCCTTATCTCAGATGAGACTTTGAACTGTGGACTTTTGAGTTAATGCTGAAATTAGTTAAGACTTGGGGGACTATTAAGAAGGGATGACTGTGTTTTGCAATGTGAGAAGGACATGAGATTTGGGAGGGGCTAGGGGCAGAATAATATGGTTTGGATTTGTGTCTTCACTCAAATCTCATGTTGAATTGTAATGCCCAGTGTTGAAGAAAGGGCCTGGTAGGAGGTGATCAAATATGGGTATGGATATTCCCCTTACTATTCTCATGATAGTGAGTGAGTTCTCACAAGATCTGTTGTTTAAAAATGTATATCACCTCCCCCTTCACTCTCTTCCTCCTTCTCTGGTCATGTAAGATGTGCCTGCTTCGCCTTGCCTTCCACCATGATTGTAAGTTTCCTGAGGCCTCCCCAGCCATGCCTCCTGTACAGCCTGCAGAACTGTGAGTCAATTAAACCTCTTTTCTTTATAAATTACCCAGTCTTAGGTAGTTCTTTATAGCAATGTGAGAACAGACTAACACAGTCACCTTCTCACTAAGGCCTTCCCTGGTTATTATTTAAAAGTAAAATCTCAACCTCTAACATTCCAGGTTTACATTCCCTTCTTTATTTTTTTCATCTTATCACTAACATCTGTACATTTTACTTATTTATCTTGTTTATTGTTTGTCTCTTTCATAAGAATGTAGGTTCTATGAAAGCATTTATTTTCCCCCAAAATATTCCCAGTGCATAAAACAGGGCCTGCACCTGTTAGGTTCTCAGCACATATCTGTTGAATGCATGAAAGCATGCATAGAAATAACCTATGTATCTATGTCTGCAAGGAAATGTTAGGCATAGCTTCAGTGCCAGCATTACAATAGAATTATTTGAGAAAATCCATAAAATTTGTAAAGCTCTATCAGACTAAGCAGAAACAAAAATGATAGAAAACACAAATAGCCAATACCAAGAATGAGAGAGATGATACCATCACAGAGTCTAGAGATGTCAGGATTATAGTATATTGTGGACTAATTTATGCCTATACATTTGACAGCTTGAATGGGCAAAGGACTTTTAGATATGACACCAAAATTATGATCCCATGAATTTAAAAATTTGGCAAATTGGGCATCATCAAAACAAAGAACCCTTACTCTTCATGCTCTGATCTACCAAGGCACTTTTTTAGTATTCTTCAGATTTAAGGTAAACTGAGTCTTTCTGGCAGTGGTTTTAGACCAACCTGTGGCTGTTCACTAGCTGTCTTTACTTGTCCCAAAACAGGTCAGAGTGAAAGCAAGGAGCAGGAGGATGAGAGATCTGCATTAGGATTTAACAGAGTTTTTTCTTTTACTGGTCACAGTTATTTTGAAATTGGTGATTCTCTGTCTTCAAGTTATGCCATGGGCATGACACCTGTGAAGTTTTACTTCTCCTTTCTTAGTCTATATCATTTCTAAGATATATGAGAAAATGGAACTGAACAGTTGCCATTGTCTTCAACTATCTGTAATTTTCTCTTTCTTATAAAACATTTTAAATCAATAATAGCAGAAATAAAATATAGATTACACTAAACTTTGTAGACTAAATCTTGGAAGAAACCAATTTCAAACTTCACTGGAGAGTAAAAAAGCAAGAATTCCACATTTTCTCTTAGTTTAGACAGGAGTTCATTTCACAGATACTTATTGTTAGCTGAAATTGAATACAGCAAATTGAAAAAGACTAAACCATTTCAGTGGTTCTACATTTGAGATAAAATATATCCAATCTCTACTCAAATACTTTGCTTCACTTACAGTCATCATTTAATGCATGTACATACAAGTAGGAAACAAGGTTGTTTTAAAATTTTTCTATTATTGCAAAAAATGATTCAGAATGGAGATGGTGATTCATGTGAAATTTTCTGCTCTTTTCCCTGCCTACATTTTAGTAAAACATATTGTCCCCTGTTATTCCTCTCACCCTGATTCTTCTGTGGTTTTAAAATTATAATGGCTGTTAATTTAGGAGGCATTCCTCTGAGAGGAATAGCCATTGTCTTTGTCAAAGTCAACACAGGATTACCCATACATACTCAGCTGCCTACATCCCATTGTTTAGTCCACATTCCTCCAATGTAAAAGTAGCCTCTCATTCATTTTACTTTTTGTATTCACAACAGCCTTCCATTTTCAAATTTGGGATTATAGGTTGATCAAGGTCCCTTAAGTGAATTTACCAACAAATGGAGACGCAGTGGCTTCAGTCTCAATCAGGCCATTTTTTTATTTTTTATTTTTTAGACATAGTCTCACTCTGTCACCCAGGCTGGAGTGCAGTGGCACGATCTCGGCTCACTGCAAGCTCCACCACCCAGGTTCACGCCATTCTACTGCCTCAGCCTCCCGAGTAGCTGGGACTACAGGCGCCTGCCACCATGCCCAGCTAATTTTTTGGTATTTTTAGTAGAGACGGGGTTTCACCATGTTAGCCAGGATGGTCTCGATCTCATGACCTCGTGATCCACCCATCTCGGCCTCCCAAAGTGTACAGGCATGAGCCACTGTGCCCGGCCCAGGCCATTTTTATCCCTTAAATTTAAATGTATTTAAATCACAAATGTAATTCTACCGTTAAATATAATTCTACCATGCTGCAAGAACTTTGATTTCAGCACTCTGTTTTTTCCATGTCAATATTCCCCATTTATCAAAACAGTGAGTAGTAGGTAGTAGGTGGTATGATATGTTTGTATACAATATGATACATAGACTTCATTTAAGAAAAATAGACAGCAAAATTTGATGCAGTGTTATCCATGGAAGGAATAAGTACAGGTGATTTTATCTTTCACTTGTTTTGTGTCATTATTTTATGAATTTCCTACAGTGTGCCTGCAATACTTTATAAATAATACATTTTTCCTTGATACAAAATGTAATGCTGCTTCAATTCACTTTCCAACTATTTCTCCATTTCTATGCCTTAGAAATAAAGTAGCAACAATCAATCAAGTCTCATTGCCTCACTTAAAATAGCCTTTGCGTTAAGTAGAAATCTTAAAGGAATTGTTGAAGAGATGAATATGTTTAAAAGTCTGGTGCCAGTTACATTAGCCACTGATTTTTTCATAACCATGGAAGAAACAATTAAACAAAATGAAAAGTATCAAAGTACTATTGTTTTGGAACAAGCATGTAATGGTCATTAGCATATCTCTGGCAATGGAAAGGCAAGGTGGTAGAGCATTTTGGCTTTGGAGTCAAATGGACTTTGGCTCGAATCCTAGCTTATGAGTTATTAAGAGTGTGATCTTGAGTGACTAACTTAATATCTCTTAGCTTCAGTTTCACCACCTGTAAAAGAGGAACATAAATACCAACTGTGTGGTTTTATTGTAATAAGTAGGAGAAATTTAAAAATAACCGACAGCAAAGATGCTTAGTCTTAGAATTTTCAGGACATGGTGATGAATTGAATGGAAAGGAGGAAGTAAAGGGAAGAGACTAGGACAACACTCATAGTTCTGGCTTGGATGAACAGATACAAACTGAGACCTACAGGATGAGTATGAATTAGCCAGGTAAATGTTCAGTAAGAGGAAAGAGACTATTCTAGAACTTGGGAGTGCATGAACAAAAGGCAGAAGTTAAGAGAGAACGTAACACGTTTTTGGAACTCAAAGTATTTTGATACACTTTGACAGTCAAGTACAACAGGGTAGCTAGAGATTAAGATGGAGGGAAAGGGCAGCCAGTCATGAAGAAACTTTTGAGTTATGATGCAATGTTTGTACTTTATCCTGAGCATAATGTGGAGACACTGAAAACTTCTAAATCATATTTGAAGTTGAGAGGATCAGGGTCAGGAAGCAGGATGACCAGGCAAGAGACTATGGCTACAAGCCACAGTGGTGGCCTAAAGGAGGCATCGCCAGCAGGAACTAAGAGAACACATCAGGAAAACCTTCCCTGATTCCATAGGATGGGCGGGGCAGCTCCTTTTCTTTGGGATCCACAGTCCTTTGTACTCATAGCCCTCATTGCAGAGTGCTTATCACAGTATATTTTAATTACACGGTAAAACAGATTCCAAGAGGGCAAGAGATGTGTCTTGTTTCCAGTCCCTCATGCAATTTCTGGCACCTGAAGAGTTGCATATATGTACATTAATGAAAGGGTATAAATATGAATCTCTCTCTCTCTCTTTGTCCTTCTCTTTTTAACAATGACCACTCATAGGCATGATGCAGACCCCTCTAATGAATGGAACTGTTTCCTCCAGTAGAGAGAAGACCACTGTTATTCTTACAGAAACTCTCAGTGTCGATATCCATGCGAAATGGTATTACATGCTGAACATTAAGTTAAATATGGCACATTTTCTGACCTCAGAAACTTTTCTATAAGATACATGCTTTGAACTTAAAAAAATAAATTTTGGCATAGTTTAGTTTCTCTTCCTTCTTTTAAAGTCAAGATCAATAAGTATAGTTGTTTTCTTACTGAGTGAATCTTTTCAGATGTGTTATTCCTAAACTTTCTCTTTATTTGTGTATATAAATCCTTTCCAGAATTTTCTGAACATCAGAAGATGATTTAATTAAATAGTCTTGGCTGGGCACAGTGGCTCACACCTGTAATCCCAGCACTTTGGGAGGCCGAGGCAGGCAGATCACGAGGTCAGGAGTGTGAGACCAGTGTGGCCAACACAGTGAAACCCCGTCTCTACTAAAAATACACAAAAAATTAGCTGGGCGTGGTGGCGGGTGCCTGTAATCCCAGCTACTCGGGAGGCTGAGGCAGGAGAATCTCGTCAACCCGGGAGGCGGAGCTTGCAGTGAGCTGAGATTGCGCCAGTGCACTCCAGCCTGGGTGACAGAAGGAGACTGTCTCAAAAAAAAAAAAAAAAAAAAAAAAAAAAAAAAAAAAATTAAATAGTCTTAGTTCCTGGACAATAGAAAATGTATTTTTAAAGTATATCTGATCCAGTCATGTTTCCAGTGAGCAATACTATTCACTGTATACATAAATGTTTAATGAATTAACAAGACTACAATTTCAAAAAATATTATATAGCTGCAAGGCTGTGTACTATTTTATAAAGCACACTACTAACACTGGAGAAGAAAAACATGCTGGCAATATGAACAATTTTAATTATTTATTCAGGAATAAAATTTCTATTTTTTTATCATTTACTGCAATATATTATTTACCTCTGAAATGTATACACCCTGTTAAATACCAAATAGGGTTTCTTGGTTTGACAAGGCTCTGTTGAATTACTGCCTCCAAGTCTTGATTAAATATGTTTATGTTTTCACTAATTACTCTGAAGCTTGAAAAACAATACTTGAAATCACTATATTTAATTATAATACAAACCTCTAGGACACTTAATAATTTAATGAAGCAAGTCTTTTGCTTGATCATTTTATGCCCATAATGATTTGACTGGGCTAGTAAGTGTTCTTACATAACATTCAAGGAAATACGGATTTCAAAATTTACATTTTTGATGACACAGTTCCAATACCGTATCCTAGGTTAACAGGAGATTATAGGCATTTGTGAAGTGTGTGTGGTTGGGGGGTGGTGTGCACACATGCATGTTATTTAATTCTTTTCATGGACATTTTGAAGGCTTTATAAAAACAATGGTATAAAATTTGAATTTTGCTAATCAACTTTATAAAGTTATTTGCAGAAAGACATTTTAAAATAAAGCAACTAAATAATTGATTTTTTTTCCTATAGTTCTGATAAAATTCATGATAGTACAAACATTTTCTGGAATGTGATGGAGTGTAAAATATTTTTGTCAGCCAGGCACAGTGGCTCACACCTGTAATCCCAGCACTTTGGGAGGCCAAGGTGGGCGAATCATGAGGTCAGGAGTTAGAGACCAGCCTGGCCAACATGGTGTAACCCTGTCTCTACTAAAAATTAAAAAAATTAGCTGGGCATAGTGACGGGCACCTGTAATCCCAGCTACTCAGGAGGCTGAGGCAGGAGAATCGCTTGAACCCGGGAGGCAGAGGTTGCAATGAGCCGAGATCGTGCCACTGCACTCCAGCCTAGGTGACAGAGTGAGACTCCATCTCAAAAAAATATATATATATATTTGTCTATGTCTATCTGTATATCCATA
The DNA here is from genome assembly GCF_000001405.40 of Homo sapiens. Taxonomy (NCBI): domain Eukaryota; kingdom Metazoa; phylum Chordata; class Mammalia; order Primates; family Hominidae; genus Homo; species Homo sapiens. Next base: position 101,528,120 of record NC_000011.10, read on the forward strand.
TCTATAAACAGATTTATGTCTATCAATATGAATAAATAAATCTATGTTAAATTTACATATTCTTTACTATCTTAAAGAATGTGTAATAGGAAAGGTAAAAGTCAGATTAGTGGAGTATTATCTAATCATTAGAACTTAAGATACTGACATGGAAAATTGTCTGCCACATTGGACCTGGAAAAACAAAGTAGATCATAAGGTGGTATATGCAATACGGGAAGAGTTTTCAATCAGCAATATTGTGCCTTGGATAAACCTCATTGCCTACACATTGCAAACCTCATTGGCACTGTCACTGCACAAAGCTTAATATATACAATATGATCTTATTTTTTGATATGATCTATTATGAAATACTTAAAATTATCTTTAAACAGATATTACTTTAGAGGGTTATTGGCATCTATATTACATGAGGCAACACATTATATAGAGTTGCACATAATATGCACTCAATAAATGTGTATATTACTATTGTATTATTGCTTGTACTAACTCTTATGTGTAGTCTGCTTTCTCTTATAGAAATCTGTGCAGATGCAGGACCATCACCTTTGCCATGTGGTACTTTCTTAGCCTGTGCATATCTGAAAAACATAAACATGCTTAGCAGTATGAGGTAAGAATTAATTGCACCAATAAAAATTCATTGGGCCAAATGGAATTTCAACAGACTGAAAGATTCTTAGATGTTTTCTGGAAGGCTAAGTTGACTTAAGAATGCGTATGAAGAAATAATCTGTAAAAAATACTACAGGCCAATCGGCATCTGGAATCATGAAAATATTAATGATTCTTCCCAAGCCATATATTCTGGAAAATTCCAACTAATGAATGCACAGCCACATTAGCAAGCAGGAGACATGAACAGTGGATAGACACCATTTTTCTCCTTTGAACAACTCATGAACTGAATGTGAGTTGAAAGTAAGAAATACTAAGTGTGTTTTCTAAGGAATTCCCACATACTTTAAATAAAGACTTCTGGATCCACAAGACTTCATTTTGTGACACAGGGGTTCACAGATCAAACAGTTCAGAAAAGCTTCAAACTTCACTAAAAGCCTAGAAAGATCAGAAAGGATGAAGGGAGTTCACTGCCCAATATCTGCTCCTGAGGATGGGAGTAGGATAATGCATATATAGTCGATTAACTAGGAGGGATGGTGAGACATAGAAGAAATCAGAGTCTAGGCTAAATATCAGGGCAGCATCTTGGCAATGAAAGCTCCTGCCTTTGGAACACTCCCCTAAGGGAAACAGGAGATGCTGCTGCTTCATAAAAAGAATTAAATTGCCTAGATAAAAGCACGAGCGTGCACTGAGTGATCTCTTGCCCTTTAACTAGGACTTCGGACATACATAGTACTTCAAAATTGTTTGTTTTAATGCAGAATCATCTGAATGCACAGTAAACCAATGCTAAAGCCTGGCTAGAATAGATCGTCCTACAGAATTTGATAATCTTGGAATTAGGGGGGACCTTAAAAAATGCACTTATTTATGAAATACAGATACTGCTTCCTATGTACAGGCCAGGTACAATTTTAAACATGTTTTTATAAATAATAAGTCAATCACAGTTGGCAGGATAATGGAATAGGAGGCCCCCTGCTCATATACCCACACAGCAAGAAGCATTTGGCAGCCATCCACTGATAGAAGTGCCTCAGTGGGAGCTTTGGGATCTAGGGAGCAGATGTTAAAATTCTGGTATAGGCCAAAACCAAGGAGGCTCATTTTAATAGGGCAGGCCCACACTTGGGTGGCAATTTTGCTGACTATGGAGTAAGCCATTGATCAAAAATGAACGCATCCCCTGTGGACCCAGCTACAATCCTGTTTCACCTTGGTCCTGCCACCAGAACCATCCTCCAAGGAGGAGTCATGCTCACCCATGCCTAAAGTGACAGGTCCACCACCCACAGGCCTGGCAGCAGACGCTGAAGTACCCCTGTAACTCAGCTCTAGCCCCTCATCTAGTCTGAGACCAATCATGCCTGCCCAGAGACCTGCTGGGAGACACACCCATCTGTGCCCTGGGAAGTAGGCTTGCTACCCTCAGTCCCATAGCAGACCCTGAAAAAGCTCTAACTTGGCTCTAGCCCCTATAAACTGCAGTCTGAATGCAGTCCTGCCCACCCAGGAACCTGCCAGGAGTCACACTGTATGTACCCTGGGAAGCAGGCTTGCTGAACTCCATCCCACAGCAGATCCTACGACAGCTCAGAAATTTGTCTCCAGTGCCCTTCAATTGTGATCCGTGATCAGTTCTGCCTGTCCAGGAACCTGGCAGGAGATACGCCCATCTGTGCCTCCAGAGGCAGGTCTGAGACATGAGGCTGGGCTGTAGACCCTGAAGCAGCCCTGTAACTCAGTTCTAGCTCCTCTTATCTGCAGTCTGGGGCCAGTCTTGCCCACCCAGGGTCCCACCAAGTGACCCTTCCCAGGAACCAAGAAGAAGCCACACCTGTCTACAGACCTGGTAACAGGCCCATTTTCTGCAGACCTTGAAGTGGACCCTTGTACCAGTACCAGCCCTACTGACCAAGATCCTGGAAGTCCAGTCTGCCCAGGGACCAAACAATATTCACGCCAGCTCGAGCCCCTGGTAACAGGCCTGCCAACCACGAACTGTGATCTGGAGGCAATCCCATCAGCCCTGGGACCCAACAAAAGCAGAAAACCAATGCATCCACAAAATAAGATATTTAATAAATAAATAGAAATCATAAAAAAGAACCAAACAGAATGACAAATTTATTATCTCACTTATAATGTAGAATCTTGGAAAGTCAAACACATAGCATTGCCAGGGCCTGGGGGTGGGGGATATGGGGAGGTGTTGGTCAAAGGGTACAAACTTTCAGTTTGGGAAGCTAATGTACATCATGGTGACTATAGTAAATAATACTGTATTGTTGACTTGAACTTTGCTAACAGAGTAACCTAATGTTGCTTAATGCATACACACACATACACACACACCGGTAACAATGTGTGGTGATGGATGTGTTGATTACTTTGATTGTGATGATCATTACCCAGTGCATACATACATCAAATCATCATGTCGTATACCTTGAATATATACAATTTTTGTCAATTACACCCTAATAAATCTGGGAAAAAACTCAATCCCCATAAGAACTCTATGAGGTACATGATATTAGTACCAGCACTTTACAAGTGGGAAGACTGAAGAACAAGAGTATAAATAACTTTGTCTTGGTAGCATAGCTGCTTACTGGTGGAACAGAGACTTGACCCCAGGAAGTCTGGACCCAAAGTCTGCATCCTAAACCTTGCAAATGCATTGCCTTTTATCTTGGTAGGCATTCAGTATTGCTTTTTCTAGATAGGAAAGACTGTATTAGTACATATGAACATCATGCATAACATTTATTCTAAAAAAGAATTTGACTCACAATCTTGATTCTGGGAATATCTGATTTTACTGAAAGATTATTTGCTAATTACTCTTCCCAAATCTTATGAATAGGATGAATGAAGCAGGCACAATTTGAGGCGTTTTGTATTTAATACTATTTTACTGCCTACCATATTTTCACCCAATCTAAATATGCAAGGCCCAAATCAGCAAATTTTCCACATCCATTGTTCCCACTTCCAGTTAGTATTGACATTATATATTACATTTTTTTGTATCTTCTATAACCAATCGAGTTCATTCTCTCTTCTCCCCGTTCTTTCTGCTCCACTGAGGTTCAAAAGCCCATTCCTGGTTTATTGTAGAACCGCCCTAAGCATTCTCTCCCTCTCCTATCTGCCTGTTTTAGCCATAGCAGAGATTGCTGGTTAAGGAGACTTGGGAAGGTGTCGGCTCAGCAGTTTCCAGGCATGGCAAGAAGTGTCCTGAGGCAGAGGCACAGTTAGATGGACAGGGACCAAAATGAGATCACTCATGGTGCTGAAGCAAAAGCAAGTCCAGGGTTTAGATCAAGCAACAACATTGTACAGTTGAACCCAAGGGCACATGTATCCTGAAGCTAAGTAACTCAATCTTCAGAGTATCTCAATGGTACAGGTCTCTTTCCAAGTCTTGGGAGAGACTGTAGCAAAGGTCCCTAAAATTATATAAGTGCAAAAATCCAAAACCTAAATCTTCTCATTGAAGCTATGGCTTTAATCACACCTTCAAGGTGGAATTTGGTTCAGCTATTTAGAAAATTGGAAACCAGATAAAATGCATATCTGGTGTCCTAAAGCCTGCCTCACTCCACCTTTGAGGAAATCTTACTTTGTTTTATAAATTATTGAAGCTAACCTGAGTTTGAGATAGATCTTATTCTTTTCCTAAAAGCATCCAGGAATAAAAATGATTTGCCAGGATTTTGAGTCCTAGCCTAGGGTCAGTGTGCATGAGGGTCACTCATAGCATGGCATGAGAACAACTGAAAGATGCATGGCCTGTTCATCAGGACTGTCCAAGAGGTGGAAGTAACTGGGAGCGGACAATGTAGTGAATTTAAGCAACTCCTGTAAAGAGAAGAGGTCTGATGAAAAGTGTGACTCCAGCCCTCAGCCAACATTGTTTTGCTGGTGAAATTCAGCTGATAAGAAGGATACTTTGAGGAGGAGAAAGAATTAGCCAAGAGCACCCAGTAGCATGACAGAGGAGTGTGGGAGAAAGGGAGAAGCTGTTCCCCTCCCTGTCACTTGGGGAGTTAAGAGGGTGAGGCAGTGAATGGGAAGGTACATCAGATTTCCAAGAACAAAGGTTCTTGAGACTATGCGGCAGCCTCAGATCCTTCTTCCTCCCAGCTGCCCCAAGGATTCATTGCCAAGCCAGCAGCCACTCTGAGCTCCTGAGAAAAAAAGCATCGCAGAACCTCAGAGCTGGCTGAGCTGCATGGCTAGACATTCAACAGTGCCATGGTGAGCCACAAACCGAGAAGGTCAGGGTGGAGGAAGCACTTAGAAAAATGGGATTGAGAATATAGAAAATGAACAATGAATAAAGCTCAGTCTTTGGGAGGTGATCAGGGTGAAAAAGATGGGAGTAAGAGTTTGTATTATGCTGTTCTTGCATTGCTATAAAGACATACCTGAGACTGGGTAATTTATAAAGAAAAGAAGTTTAATTGGTTCATGGTTCTGCAGGCTGTATAGGAAGCATAGTGGCATCTACCTCTGGGGAGGCCTCACGAGGCTTCCAATCATGGTGGAAGGCAAAGCGGAAACAGGCACATCACATGGCAAGAATGGGAGCAAGAGAGAGAGAGTTTGGTTGCAGAGAAGGGGGAAGCGGGGCAGTGCCACACACTTTTAAATGACCAGATCTCACTAGAATTCACTGTCACAAAGACAGTGCCAAGCCATGAGGGATCTGCCACCATGACCCAAACACCTCCTGCCAGGCCCCACCTCTAGAATTGGAGACAACAATTCAACACGAGCTTTGGGCAGGGACAAATATGCAAACCATATCAGAGTTGTAGGTCTGAAGTGCCAAGTGAAACTCAAGTGTCAGGTTCAGGGAGTCATAGCAGAAAGAGCCTGACCATACTGGGATCTTGGTGTCACTCCTAAATTTAACTGGGGCTTTGCTTAAGTTTTGGCCGTTATTTTTTTTTAAGGTATTTCAGTTTATAAACAGGGACTTCTATCTTTCTCCCCATTCCTTTATTCTAACTCGCTTTCTGCTTAGGATTCCATTCCCTTCTGGGACTTAATCCTACCCTGAACCTCAGCCCAATATCAAAGGCCAGCTTGTTTGATGTATTCACAGCCCCACTCAGGCAACTGAGGGCTCCATAATGTATTGGCTTACAGCTGATGATCATCCACTCCTGTAACTCCACATTAGCTATTAATACGTTCCTTGATGCTGTGTGCTATATGCCTGTCTGGAAGCTCCCATTCCATCTAGCTCAGGAGGCCACTCTTCCAAAATCAGGCTCTGCCATCAGGAAGTTGCCTCTGTTCTTATCCTTCCTCAATGATGGATACTGAACTGGGCCCCGATTCCTTCCTCCCTTCCCTCCCTTCCTTCCCTCTCTTCTCTCTCTTTCTGATGGAGTCTTGCTCTGTTGCCCAGGCTGGAGTGCAGTGGCGCCATCTCAGCTCACTGCAACCTCTGCCTCCCTGGTTCAAGAGATTTTGCTACTTCAGCCTCCTGAGTAGCTGGGACTACAGGTGCCTGCCACCATGCCTGGCTAATTTTTGTATTTTTAGTAGAGGTGGAGTTTCACCATGTTGGCCAGGCTGGTCTCGAACTCCTGACCTCAGATGATCGACCCACCTCAGCCTCCCACTGTGCTGGGATTACAGGCATTAGCCACTGCGACTGGTACCCCTTCACTTCTTATACAATCTGTACTACTACTGCCCACACTAAAGTATCATTTCAAGATATAACAGTAAGGATTTGGTGTAAACATAATCCTAAAACAAATGAATTCACCTAGAATTATGTGTTGATAATGACAAGGAAGTTTATTAAAAAAAAAAACCCAGGTCACTACATAATACTATAGATAAAAGATTAATAACTCCATATATTCCTAATTAAAAGAAAGACTAAATAACAACTGATACATATTTAGAAGTAGTGGTTCATTTAGCAAGAGATGGTTCACATCTTTTTAACATAACTACTTCATAGCTGAGTGAAGTTTCAATCCAATCTGCATTTCAGAAAATTTTTTAAAAGGTTTATTAGGAGATTTCTACGTATCAGAAACGTATATGGTTCATATAAACCTGCAAGATTTATATGAGAAAATGAACACAAACTGGGCTGGGCGTAGTAGCTTATGCCTGTAATCCCAGAACTTTGGGAGGCCCAGTGAGCACATCACCTGAGGTCAAGGGTTCGCGAACAGCCTGGCCAACATGGCAAAACCCTGTCTCTATTAAAAATACAAAAAAAAATTAGTTGGGCATGGTAGCGCATGCCTCTAATCCCAACTACTCAGGAGGCTGAGGATCAAGAATCGCTTAAACCTGGGAGGCAGAGGTTGCAGTGAGCCAAGGTCACACCACTGTACTCCAGCTTGGGTGACAGAGCAAGATTCTGTCAGAAAGAAAAGAAAGGAAGGAAGGAAGGAAGGAAGGAAGGAAGGAAGGAAGGAAGGAAGGAAGGAAGGAAGAAAACACAAAGCATTTGAGGAGACAAAGTGATTAAGAAATGTATAATAACATAAAAGTAAAGGTAAAAACTTTCCAGAATGCTCAGAAGTAGCATGTTCTAGTTAACTTATTTTTATGGATACCTTAGTTACTAGCCCACTTATTCCCTAATCTTATTATTATTTTTTTTTTTTGCTTTAACCTTTGTTACTGAAAGTACTCATAAAAGATATTTGTCTATTTCTCTTTCAAACTTTCTGAGTCTTTTTAATGACACAGAACTTCAGAGGACTATAGGGTCATTATTCTGAACCTTTATGTTCACCTCAAATATAGAACATACAGAAAACTGGGCTGACTAGGATATGACTTAATAGTTTTGTTTACTTGTTAGTAAAATCCCTGATAATAGACTGTTTCTCCTTTGTGATTTGTCTAGTCTGATAAAAGCAGAGCATAAAAGCACTATTGATTAGGCATACCAATGAGCTTTTATTGGAGTTAGAAGTTAGGATGGAAAGAATAAAATACTGTGTAGATAAATGAAATGACCTACCTGGAAAAATTTTAATAACAAAAAGTTGGTAACCAGATTAATGGCTATAGAATGTGAGAATATCCTTTAAATAATATTCCTATAAATAAAATAGATGACATCATGCTTGATTTTAATTAATGCAAAGAATAACAAGGAAAATGGCAGACTGTTTAAAATGCTCCAATTCTGTCTATTTAGACAGTAATTCCCTCATCCATTCAATAAATATTTATTTAATCAGCATTGCTATGTGCTAGGAAATGGGGAAACTGTGGGAAATAAGCAGACAGACTTCTCTCTTCATGGAACTTCCATGTTGATGAGAAAAACTGACATTGAAAATGTAACTGCAGGCCAAGCTCAGTGCCTCACGCCTGTAATCCCAACACTTTGGGAGGCCAAGATGGGCGGATCATCTGAGGTCAGGAGTTTGAGACCAGCCTGGCCAACATGGCAAAACTCTGTCTCTACTAAAAATACAAAAGTTAGCCAGGCTTGGTGGTTCATGCCTGTAATCCCAGCTACTTGGGAGGCTGAGGCACCAGGATCGCTTGAATCCGGGAGGCGGAGGTTGCAGTGAGCCGAGATCACACCACTGCACTCCAGCCTGGGCAACAGAGCAAGACTCGATCCCCCAGCCCCTCCCTCCCCCCCACCAAAAAAAAAGAAAGAAAAGAAAATGTAACTGCAAGTGCTCAGAGTGTGGTAAGAACTGCAGAATGTGATACACTCGCAGGTATATTCTCTACTCTAGGGTAGGAATCAGGAAAATCTTCCTGGAGACAATGATTTTTAAGATGAAAACCAAAGAAAAAGTAAGATGTAGTAGAGGGGAGAAGAAAGCATTCCAGAAAGGGAAAATAACTAATATCATGGCCCTTAAGATCCTAGCATGTTTGAGGAGCCAAAAGTCCAGTAGGGCTGGGGGATCAGAGAGCTGAAAGGAGAATGATGCCTCTCTGGGCTCAGTCATTAGTCAGGGGCGAGAGCATTCAGGCCGCTGTACCATTCTTAGGATTCTGGGATGTCATTGATGAGTTTAAAACCTGGAGTGATGCAATCAGATCTGTTTTGCAGAGATACTTTGCAATCTGAGGAATAGATGGGAGGGTAGCAAGACTAGATGCAAGGAGACCAGTTAGGAGACTATTGCGGTACTCCAGGTGAGAGATGGCACCATTAGGATGGAAAGGGGTTGATGAATTTGAGAAATCTTGGAAAGGTAGAATTGATAGGATTTACAGACTGGCTGTGAGCAAAGAGTTAAGGATGTAAAAGGTTAAATGTGTTTACCAAGTGTCTGGACTGAACCTCTGGGGTTATAGTGCTGCCATCTACATTTGGAGTACTTTGGGATAAGATAATGCAGACTTTGAACCGCACTTTGTTTAGAAAATTTTAAGATAATATTCAAAATAGTACTTCCAATTTAAAACCAAATTCAAGACTACATTAACCTCTTTTATATTATACCTTTTTTTCAACTACACCAAGAATCCTGATTCCCAAGGACACAAGGGATGATAGAATATTCCACATATATTCATTTACTTTATCCCACATTACAATCATTAACAGTCTCACTGTTACACTAATGCTACTGTTGCCTATGCAATTACTGAGAATGGGTTTATTTTTTTTCTCCTTGTATTTTTTTTTGTAGTTACACCATATTCTGTCTGAACATTTGGCCATATACACTATACTCTCTCTCTTTCAAAAACACTTGTCTGAATTCTATAAGTAACTACATCTTTAATGCTACCACATGGCCTTATGTGGATGTTTCTCTAGTCATTTTGGTCATCTGGGGCACATTTTCTAGAAACTTCTTCATGAAGGGATCTTGGGAACTATTTCCCTGAGTTCTTGTATGTTGTTCACAGTTAATCTGCACCCTTTCTACTTGAATGTCAGTTTGCTGAATATAAAAATCATTGTCTAATATTTCTTTCCTAGAGTATCTTAAATATGTTATTCCATTTTCTGCTAGCAAAAAAACATTGCTGTCAAAAAAAAAAGTCTGATGATAATTTACATTTCTTTGCCTTATAATTCACCTACTGGTTTTGCTTAGATGCCAAATTATTTTCTCTTTAAAATGAGTAATTTTACTAGAATGTGTCTGATGTTTGTCATTTGGGTTGATATTATTAGGTATTCCATGTACCATCAATATGTAGTTTTAAGCGTATACATATTTTTAGCAGTTTTCTTGGATTGCAGTTCTTAGTATATTTTTCTGTCCTCTTGCTTTGTTTTTAATTTTTTTCCATAGATCTCAATTACCTTTATGTTGATTCTTCTTTGCCTGTTCACAATTGTTAACTTTCTAATTCTTTTTAAAATCTCTTCATTTTTAAAATTTTTTTACTTAGCACTCTCTAGTATGTTTCTTCTCTCTTGTGTGGATTTTTGTTCTTTATTTCTAATACCTCAGTTCTGTTACCTCCTTTCTGAATTTTTCTCATTCTGGTGAATATTGCTCTTACATCATCTTTTTTTAAGTATTTTAGCTTATTTTGAAAAAGCTATTTCTATACTTTTCTATTGCCTGTTTTCCTGTGAAATTAGTTTCTTTGAATTTTTAGGAGGTACATAGTCCAGGGTAACTTTCTAATGTCACAAAGCTCCCTCTTCTGTCATTTTTGTACGGCAGTTTTGCTTCCCAAGACTTCCTGGCTCTGTGGCCCCTTTCCTTACCCCCTCAACCAAATCCTGTGTGGGAGGCTGAATGGTCTCCCAAAGATGTCTGTGCCTTAATCCCTGGAACCTGTAAGTATGTTACGTTACATGGCAAAAGGGACTCTGCAGATGTAATTAAGGTTATAGACTATGAAATAAAGTCTGGAGATATTTTCCTGGATTATCCATGTAAACTCAATCTAATCACATGAGCCCTTAAAAAGAGAAAACTTTCTCCAACTGAAGGCAGGAGACGTAAGGCAGAATGAGAGATCAGAGAGATTGGAAACATGATAAAAACTGGACCCACGTGAGAAGGCCACACTGCTGCTGGCTTTGAAGATGAAGAGAGTCATGAACCAGAGAATGCTGCCAGGCCCTAGAAGCTAAGAATGATCCCCAGAACAGACAGCAAGGAAACAGAGACCTCAGTCCTTCAACTACATGCTACAACATTCTGCCATCAGCCTGAATGAACATGGAAGTGAACTATTTCTAAAGTCTCTCAATAAGAGCCCAGACAGCTGATACCTTGGTTTGTGCTTCGTGAAACTCAGAACAGAGAAATCAGCCAGGCCCACCCAGACTGCTAACCTGCAGAACCGTGAGAAATACACGTATGTTGTTTCAAGTCACTAAATTTGTGGCAGTGTTTTACACTAGTAATTTGAAAACAAACACATCCACTTTCATTTGAATGTTTTTCGTTTCTTTCCATCATCTTTATCACGCTCAATTTTGACTCCAACCCTCACTGTGAGGTCTAGTCCTAGAAAGGAGCCCTAAAGTCTCGGTTTTCAGATTCCTTAGAACTAGACTGCTCCAACTCTGAGGCTAGACTGCTCTCATGTTTAGAATTGACCATAAGCCTTGTGCACTTTGCTATTAGAGTGAGGAAAACCCTCCCAGTTTCAGCTGCTGTTCTCAGACTGCCTGGGCCTTCTAGTAAATATCTATTGCTGTGCGGAGCTAACCTGTTCTCAGTTTCTCAGACGCCACACTGAGCTTTCCTCTGAAGACACTTATTCCAAGCAGGCCTTTTGGCTACTGCTGACTTGCCTCATCAACGTTCATTTTGGGGTTGTGGAGACACCTTGTCACCAATTTTGTCATAAATATTGTCCATCATTTTTTGGTTTTACTAAACAGTTACCTTGGCTGTTTATATGAGGGAATTTGAAGACATTTTTAAAAACTATGCTTCTTTTACCATCATCAGCATCTTTCCAGAATCCTGGGCCTAATCTAAACATACTTTAGAAAAATTGCTCATAAATATTATTATTAAAACAGGCCATATTTCAATCTTCTAATGGCAATTGTCTTTATAAATAAATTTAGTAATAAGTTTCTGCATTAGGAGCGTTACATTAAAATATATTTAATTAAGTCCTAGGCCATCTGTTTTATGAATTTGGGAGTGTTTGTGAAAGGAAGCCCACCTGTCTAGACATCAATGCTGGAGAATTGGCAGGTGGTGAAGGAACAGCCATTCAGAGTCAATCATGGAAGTTTCAATGGGAGCATTTGTTTTTATTATGTAATTAATTATAGATTTGAAATACTAAATCATTTTTTAAACCTCTACTTATGTCAAAATACAGCAAATAATTGAGCGAGTTATATAAGATTAAAAAGTTATTCAAAAGTTCTTTAGCTTCTCTTAGCTGTGAACAACACATATGTGTAAAATTCCTGTTCTCTAGGAAATGCTGAGACAATTATCGCAGCAGTGGAAATGAGGCAACACCAATGGGGTACACACAGAGAAGACTGCCTGAGGCCTCTGCTCTTCAGCTATGATAGGAAGGGCACAGGCAGAGCAAGAGCAGATGAGGAAACAAAGCAATGCAGGGTCTAAGGAACATTGTGAGAGTTAAGCAGACTTAGGTACTCAGAGCAGGACATTAAATTACAGCAAATTAAATAATCTTCTGATATTTTAATTTTTCTTAAAGACATGGAGGAAAAGAACAATGTGATATTCTTCACAGCGTATTTTTAAAGTATTTTATCCTTTGCATTTCCTGGGCATATGTAGTGTTAAATGACTGCATCCTACACGCTTGGAGTCTATGGAATTTCATTCTTGTTTAACTGTGCTGTTATATGTAATGTAAAGAGACATCCAAGGCAACTCAATGTATAATTCAGAGGTCACAGCCATTTATTTCATCAATGTGAAGATGTTAGAAAAAACATGTACACATAACTTAATATTAAAAATAATTTTCATGTAAGGAGTCCAGTTAATTCAGATATAATATTTTTTGTTCTGAAATACTGAAACAATTTGAGTATGAACTCTAAAGAAAGATGAGTTAAAAATCAAAATGTTTTGGTTACATTCCTTATTTGACCACCATTTTTGGTTTCTGTTGACTCAATTTTGTGAGTTTTTATTTTCTTATCTGTGGAGAGGAGATAAAGGCACGCAGGAATCGTGAGGATTAAATATAACCTACACAAAAACCTGCAAGGAACTATAAAACCCTTTACATATGTAAACTTTTTAACTTAAAAGAGTATTTTGAAACTTGCTTAATGCATAGGAGAAACAAAATCAGGCTAGAAATGCAGCTACACAAGTCATCGTAGGCTAACAGAGTCAGGATGTGAAAACAAAGACAAACATATTTTATGAATTAATAGAAAATGTATATTAATGTTCATAAGTAAAGAAATTTGGTTGGAACTTTTATGAGGCTAAAGGATTCTTTAGTTATATTAACCTTAGAAATAAGTCCCTTTGATAGATAAAAGCCAGTCTTTTTGTTTTTTTCTATGATGAAAACATATCCAAAATGTTTAAACTCATTCAGCTCGCTGGTTATCTATCATCCAATTATGTGAGGTTTTTGACAAAATGGAGTAGAAGAGTTATGATGCTTTAAACAAATAAATTTCTTCTTAAAATGACTGTATTTTTTTGTTTTTGTTTTGAGACGGAGTTTCGCTCTTTCGCCCAGGCCGGAGTGCAGTAGTGCCATCTCGGCTCACTGCAACCTCCACCTTTCGGTTTCAAGCGATTCTCCTGCCTCAGCCTCCCAAGTAGCTGGGATTACAGGCACCTGCCACCACGCCCGGGTAATTTTTTGTATTTTTAGTACAGACAGGGTTTTACTGTTTCTTATAGTCTATATGAGACAGAAAGCTTAGGCCAGAGGCAGGCCGAGTGGATGGATATGGTAAGGGAATTCTCCATGGGCAATTTCTGATTAAGGGCTCCACACAGGCCTACTTTTGCCAACTGCTGAAGAACACCTTGGAGGATATCAGGCTGGAGGATGCCTTCTTCAATTGCTATGCAGTGCAAAAGAAAAAAAAGTATTACATTATTAATTTTCTTAATAATTCAAGAGCTAAAGCTCAGAGCATGCTAATGTATATGCATGTTTAACATTGGTAACGACAATGGGCTCTCAAGAGGCTTACAGGGAGGACTCAAGCAGAGAGCCTCCAACCAAGAACCACCCTATTATCTTGAAATATATACTATGTCTAGAAGTTTGGAATATCTGGAAAATATCAGGCAACTCTTGGATAATTCAGATTGAAATCAGCAATTGTTAGGTCTAAAATGTAATTGGTAGAATGGCTGGCGCATTCTCTACTGGAAGAGAAAAAGAACTATTCCTAGATAAATTTTTTTAATAATTGAAAGAACTGAAATTAGAGCCATAATTGTACTTAATGTATTTATTGTGTCTTGATCTATAGTGTTTTGACTATTGTAATTTCAAGGATAGATGAGACACGGAGTAAAACAGAAGTGCAAGGTCTGTTGGGCACCTGCCTGTGGCAACCCGTCTAAATATGTAATAAATGAATACCAGGATCAATTATAAATAGGGTGCTAATTAACTCCTCATGACTGAAAAAATGTACATTGGCCACTGTATTCAGACCCACTGATAAAGATAGTTCCCTTAAGTAAAAATCTAAAATACATCTTTCTGGGACAGATCTAGCTTTGTTAGGTAGTTTTGCAAGTTTGTCTTGTGTAAATGCTGATTTCAGCTAGCTGATAGTCACTACTAAAGTCAGCAGTCAAACCCAACTGATATGCAGAAACCAAATGATGTATTTGGGTTTTGCATCCTGCATTTTACCCAGAATGAGTAATTAATTGTCTAAACCATTTATCATGAATCCTAAAAAGCTACAGCATTAAAAAAAAAAACACAAGAAAACTAAAGACAGAATAGTATCTACTAAAAAATAAGCATAATTTGCCATTATGAAAGCCAGTGAATAAAACAAATTCTATCTTTATAGCTAAATTTATATAATCTATTATGCATAATGAATGTGATATATATATAATTTTTAAATGAAAATAAAAGACACATCTAAACAGATTAAAATTCTATGAACTTCAGACTTCAACATAAGAGGAAAAACCTTAAGAAAACATGAGAAAATCTTTGTGACCTTAGATTAGCAAAGGTTTCATAGATAGGATATTAAAAATATTAACTATTTTCAAAATTGGTAAACAGTTCTTCATTAAAATTATAATCTTCTGCTCTTTGATACTCAAGAAAATGCTAAAAACAAATTATAGACAGAAAATATTTACAAAATACATACACAGTAAAGAACCTCTATCCAGAATATATAAAGAATTCTTACAACTCAATTAAGACAAACAGCCCAAAACAAAGGGCAAGAAATGAAAACATACATATGTGAATGTCCTTAAGTATGTGAAAAGGTGCTCAACATAATTAATCAGGAAAGAGCTAATAAAGAAAGACTGACCACATCTAGTTTGGCAAGCATGTGGAACACCTAGAATTCATGCATTGCTGGTGGGAATGCAAAATGGTGTAACCATTTTGAAAAGCACTTTGGCAATTTCTTATAAAGTTCAACTTACATGTACTCTATGACCATGCAATCCCACTCCAAGACAAATTGGAAAAAACTACTTTAAATTTCATATGGAACCAAAAAAGAGCTGGCATAGCCAAGACAATCCTAAGCAAAAAGAACAAAGCTGGAGGCATCATGCTACCTGACTTCAAACTATACTATAAGGCTACAGTAACCAAAACAGCATGGTACTGTTTTGGTACTGGTACCAAAACAGATATATAGACCAATGGAACAGATCAGAAATCAGATTAGAAATAACCACACATCTGCAACCATCTGATCTTTGACAAACCTGACAAAAACAAGAAATGGGGAAAGGATTCCCTATTTAATAAATGGTGTTGGGAAAACTGGCTAGCCATATGCAGAAAGCTGAAACTGGATCCCTTCCTTACACCTTACAGAAAAATTAACTCAAGATGGATTAAAGACTTAAATGTAAGAACTAAAACCATAAAAACTCTTGAAGAAAACCTAGGCAATACCATTTAGGACATAGGCATGGGCAAAGACTTCATGACTAAAACACCAAAAGCAATGGCAACAAAAGCCAAAAAACACAAATGCGATCTAATTAAACTCAGGAACTTCTGACAGCAAAAGAAACTGTCATCAAAGTGAACAGGCAAACTACAGAATGGGAGAAAAATTTTGCAATTTACTCATCTGACAAATGGCTAATATCCAGAATCTAAAATGAACTTAAACAAGTTCACAAGAAAAAAACAACCCCATCAAAAAGTGGGCAGAGGATATGAACAGACACTTCTCAAAAGAAGACATTTATGCAGCCAACAAACAAATGAAAAAATGCTCATCATCACTCGTCATTAGAGAAATGCAAATCAAAACCACAATGAGATACCATCTCACACCAGTTAGGATGATGATCATGAAAAAGTCAGGAAACAACAGATGCTGGAGAGGATATGGAGAAATAGGAACCCTCTTACACTGTTGGTGGCAGTGTAAATTAGTTCAACCATTGTGGAATATAGTGTGGTGATTCCTCAAGGATCTAGAACTAGAAATACCATTTGACTCAGCAATCCCATTACTGGGTATATACCCAAAGGATTATAAATCATTCTACTCTAAAGACACATGCACACATATGTTTATTGTGGCAATGTTCACAATAGCAAAGACCTGGAACCAACCCAAATACCCATCAATGATATACTTGATAAAGAAATTGTGGCTCATATACACCATGGAATAGTATGCAGCCATAAAAAAGGATGAGTTCATGTCCTTTGCAGGGACATGAATGAAGCTGGAAACCATCATTCTCAGCAAACTAACACAGGAACAGAAAAACAAACACCACACGTTCTCACTCATAAGTGGGAGATGAACAATGAGAACACATGGACACAGGGAGGGGAACATCACACACTGGGGCCTGTTGGGGGTGGCGGGCTAGGGGAGGGATAGCATTAGGAGAAATACCTAATGTAGATGACGGGTTGATGGGTGCAGCAAACCACCATGGCACATGTATACCTATGTAACAAACCTGCATGTTCTGCACATATACCCCAGAACTTAAAGTATAATTAAAAAAAATGTTTGTTCAGTGGTCTTCAAATTAATTGACACTTTTTGAACTTTTCTAGGAATGTACTTGGAGCACCAGTAGTGCTATATGTAGAAACCCTGCCCTGTGAAATAACATTGTAGGAATTTGTTCAATTTATGAAGATCACCTAGCCTTTAAGTATGAGACTCCTATAAGAGTTATTGTTCTGAATGAAAAATAGGTCTGTATTAGTCTTTATACACACACACATACACACATAAACACAAACATCATATACAGTCAGCCCTATGTATCCATGGATCCTACACCCACTGATTCAACCAATTGTGGATCAAAAATATTTGAAATAAATAAATAATAACCATACAACAATTAAAATATGGTAAATAAGCAATACAACAACTATTACACAGTATTTACATCGTATTAGGTTTTGTAAGTAATATAGAGATTATTTATAGTATATAGGAGGGTGTGCCTAGGTTATATGAAAATACTACCCCATTTTATATCAGGGACTTAAGCATCCATATATTTTGCTATCTGCGTGGGGAGTGGGGAACCCAAAACCAATCCCCTATGGATAGTAAGGAACAACTGTATATCTATCCATTACATTGCCCCAACAATTGATATAAACAAAACTTCTATTTTACAAGGCACATTAGCTAGTTTTGTAATCCATAAAATAGCTTTCTTGAGATTATTAGATCGTCTGGGTCTTTTGACTGCTAATCCAATACTCTGTTAACATTATTAAGTCTCTGATAAAAACCAAATAGTCAGATAAAACACTCATCTGGATTCAGCCTTAATACATTTCTTATAATTTAGCTAACACATTAGGAGTTGCCCCCTATTTCTTAAAATAATTTTTAGGTAGATGATGGAGAGGGCTTTATCATTTACCTTCCTTTAATTAAGACATCTTTCCACTTGCTTGAGATAGACTTCATTTTTCATATTAGCTACTAAACATAGGAATCAATTTTATCTGACCTATTTACACGTGTAGCATTTCTGGTGTTTTCTGGTTTTCACACAGATGGGCCCTTCATTTATTTGCTTGCCTATGATGTTCAACTTGTTCCGTTCTGTGAATAGGGCTATAAAGAAGAAGAGAGAGTGAAGATAAACTGAGTTCACAGGAAATAAAAAAATAATGGATCTAGTATCACATTTATAACTCTTTTTTTTTTTTTTTTTTTTTTTTTTTTTTTTGAGACGGAGTCTCGCTCTGTCGCCCAGGCCGGACTGCGGACTGCAGTGGCGCAATCTCGGCTCACTGCAAGCTCCGCTTCCCGGGTTCACGCCATTCTCCTGCCTCAGCCTCCCGAGTAGCTGGGACTACAGGCGCCCGCCACCGCGCCCGGCTAATTTTTTTGTATTTTTAGTAGAGACGGGGTTTCACCTTGTTAGCCAGGATGGTCTCGATCTCCTGACCTCATGATCCACCCGCCTCGGCCTCCCAAAGTGCTGGGATTACAGGCGTGAGCCACCGCACCCGGCCTTATAACTCTTTATCCTCATACTCATGTGATGAGATAAAGGAACCACTGCAAAGATTTCAAGATAACATGGAGGTTCCTCGGTAACAAGTTAGTGAATAAATACATGCATAAGTTAATGAATGAGTGAATGAAGTGACCAGAGAAACCTGACTTTGAATCTTGGCTTTTCCACTTAGTACCTAGAAAATTGGGCAAGCTACTTAGCCTTTCTGAGCTTTGGCTTTTTCATGTACAAGGTGGGAATTGTAATACTTACTTGTAACACTGATCTGAGTTTTAAACATGATGTATATAAAGCAACTATCATATCATTTGGGAAGCAGTGGATTTCAAAAAAAGTGAAGTGCAGCTGCAGGAAAATTGATGAAATTTAACTTCTATTCATGATTTTTTTAAAAAGATGTCTTTTACCAAACAAAGACTGTATACATATAACACAAATATCTATCAATAATAGAATGGATAAATAAAGGATGGTATATTTATACAAGGGATACTGTACAGTAATAAAATGAACTAGAGAGACTAAAATTTTATGAATGTCAAAATTATCAGGTGAACAAAATAAGCAAGAAATAAAAAATACAAATGACATCATCCACTTATAGAAAGTTCAAACACATTATATTGTTTAAGGATAAATACATAAATGTTAAGTGATAATGAAAAACAAAAAAACGATCTTCACAAGAGTCAGGTCAGAAAGAGGTCCATGGGAATCTTCTGGGTTTGGTGGCATTTTGTTCCTTGATCTTGGCCATTGCTACATGGAATTCATTTTATAATTATTAAACTTTATATGTATTATTTACTTTTCTACATGTGTATTGTGTCTCCCAATAAAGAATGAGAACAAAAATGTCATTATTATTACAAAGCATTAATTATTTTTAGTTAATTAATGTTCCTTTTCTTTCACAAACACATGACATCTAAGTCTATATGGGCCCTGAGATTCCCATGTACTCACAAACATTAATGTAATATTTCCTTTTTGATATGAGAATAACAAAGCATCTCAAGTACTCTAAAGCACAAATAGGATGGATAGCATGGAACAAATGCTCTGCTGCCAAGAACATTTTGTAGGAATCTATTGGCTTATTTAGAAATTCCCAAAACCTTCTTGGTTCAAACTAAGGAGAACTTACACTCCCCGCGCATTTAGCACAAGCCCTATCAATTACGTCAACCATGCCCCCAGTATATCAATTGAGATCATCGATTTCTGTTATGAATATTTCTTCCTATCTGTAATTTAGAAAGCAATAAGTTATCAGAAATTTTGTGTAGAAGACATACTATGTTAACAGGTATCCAGGTAGTAATCTTTCTGACTTGTGTCCTAGAAAACTGCCTGAAGGTCCAGCATACACTAACAAATGGACATGGAGAATGGAACAGGGGCACACAGGTGTGTATCTTCTTTGATCCCAGTAGGCACTATATGCTCCTAGCCTGCTGCCTGTCTCCTCCTACTCATTAATTCTCAACATTCAGAATCATATAGCCAACTAAGGAACACTGAAATAAGACTACTAGACAATTCTGACACCAAAATGTAACTGTTATGTCAATACATATGCTGCAAATATATTCACACATACTTCTCACATATAAACTGTATCCAGGAGATGCCAACTATGACTTTAAGATTCCTTAAGGTTATTGAGAGTATGGAAGTCTTGCCATGTGCAGTGAATCTATTATTTCAGTAATGGGGCTAAAATAGGATTTTTATGCACCAACTATAATCTAAGAGAACTTCAACAAATAAGGTTTTCTAAAATATTCTCTCTTTTCACTTCTTGAACTGTATGCCAGGCATTTAAAATTTATCATCTCATTTAATCTTCCCAACAGCCTAAGAACTAGATCATATATATATACATATATATATAATTTATATATATAATTATATATAATTGAAATACAATATAATATATAATTATATATAATTGAAATACAATATATAATTATATAATTATATCTTATAATTATAATATATAAATATATTATGTATAATATATAATTATATAAAATATATTTAATATATAAATATATAATACATAATTATATATACTGATATATATATATATATATATCTCTCTCTCTCTCTCTGTCTCTCACAGATGAGGAAAGTGAGGTTGAAAGAGGTTAAGTAGCTTATCCAAAGAGGTGTCAAGCCATTTAACCAAAGTAAGAATCCAATTCTATTTTTTAATTGACACCAGTTCTCTGTGATAGCAAAGCTCGTACCATTCTCACTTCAAGAGATGCTGCATCCGTAAACAATCATGCTTATTTATAAAAAAGAAAACTGAGATGAAATGATTATTTAAAACTTTTAAGAACATTTCCACACAATGAAATATAGTGCAGCTCTCAGAAAGAATGCAATAAATCTATATTTGCTAAAATGCAAGATTTTACAAAATACATATACTATTGAGTGAAAAAAATCATGGTGTAGAAGAGTATGAAGATATCATATAATTTTGCTTTGTCAAAAAATATATACGGTTACATATGCATTGACAAGTTCTGAAAGAGTGTGCAAGGAAATGTCAGTGGGTAACTCTGGGGGTAGTACCAAGGGTAGGGTTCATGCAGAGAGACTGACATTTTCCCTTTGTATCCTTCTGTTTTTTTTTGATGTTTCATGTTCAAATATCACTTTTTAAAATTAAAGACAATCCAATTTTTAAAAAGATTGTGAGATGTACAGATCAGAACAAAGGCCTACTAATGGGAGGAGCTGAATATTAGAAATGCCTGCTTTAATCACCTGAAGTGATTTAAGAGCAAGTGAAGTACAAAATCAAACACTTTTGTAAGTTGAACAGAACTCAAAACCTAGAAATACATCTAACTTATTCACTAGGTTGATTTTAAAAAGGGATATATTATAAAATTTAAAAAATAGTTATTGAAACAATGTGAGGATGGTCAGCTATATGAAAAATAATTATTTATATCCACACCTCATATTACGCCATAAAGCAAAACAAACATGTGAATAAAACATTTATACATGTTTTATTTAGCTAGCTAAATAAAAACAAATCCAAGAAAATAGCAAAAAGGCAAGTCAACATTTATCAGATCTTATACTGGTAGTTACCAACTTTGATGAGTTACAAGAGGCTATAATAAAAAGAAATATTTAAATGTTTATGATAAAATCATTTCAATAAAAAGTGGCAGAGAGAAAAACATATTGAATAAGGGAGAAAAGAGGAGTTATGTTTAAAATTGAGAGAAAAACTGACAGAGAAAAAAGGGATAAAAAAGAAAACTTGTATGCAAAATGGAATATTTCAAAATAAATAATAAAAATATAAAAACACAAATGAAAAAATGTCAAAAAATAAATAAAATAAAATAAAATTGAGAAAGAACTATTATGGCCCTAATAGATAAATAGGTAAATTTCATGTAAATATAATACAATTTTTAAAATATAATTAATAAAGCAATACTTAGAAAAATATTTAGTCAATGAATAGACAAATAAGTGCAAATTAAAAACAATATGAGGTACTGTTTTTTCCATACTGAGTTAGCAGTATAAAGAATGATATCAAAAGTATACAAGACTGATACCAAATTATAACCTCCCTTTTTTCTGATGACACAGAAAGTGGAACAGTCTTTTTGGAAATTATAGTCTAAGACTCATGAAAATAATTCTATTCAGTTTTTGTGCTTTGGAAATTATTACTGATAAAATTTAGTCTAAAAAGAATCTAAATTTTTTTAAGATGTTTTTTGCAACATTATAAGAATAAAAATTTAGAATCAACTTACATATGCCCAACAATTACAAAATCATCATGTAATTAATTCCTCAACAAAAAGTTCCTTGATAGAATTTTATCTGCCTTTTATCATAATTATTATGAAGAATACATATTACACATATGAAAACACAAGTATGATGTTACATTAAATTAAAAAAGACGCAAGGATATAAGCTATGGATGTAAAATCATGCATATATATGGATAGGTATAAGAACATAACTGAGAGAAATATAATTTGATTTGTTAGAGTGCAG
This sequence comes from Homo sapiens, assembly GCF_000001405.40. NCBI lineage: Eukaryota > Metazoa > Chordata > Mammalia > Primates > Hominidae > Homo > Homo sapiens. The sequence continues at coordinate 101,550,433 of NC_000011.10, forward strand.
ATTTATTGATACTTTTTTCTTAATTTTAATTTTATTTCTGCTAACGCTATTATGCAAATATTTGTTCAACTGATAATAATAATTTTCATAACCTTAAAACACACAGTAGTGTTTTTAAGCAACAGAACTAAAGAAAAAATAATTTCAACAGCAAAATCTGTAACATTTGTCATAAGCACTAATAAATAAGGATAAAGGGCAATTGAATAACAATATTATTCTTTATATATAAATGTTTCCTAAGGCCTTTGTAGTCTGATACATTATAAAACACAAACAGATTAAGTAAAAAATACACACAACATGGAGAGTATGTGGTATAACCTCACTGGACTGGAAAAATGTGTTCTTATCAAATGTAGTACTTTGAAATATTGCATATTTATATATTTCATTTTTATTTTAAAAATAATATATGTGCTTAACTATACATTCATTGAGCTCACCTAATATCATTGTGATATAAAAGATGATTCCCATAGTTTATTAGATCATGGTATTTAAAGTAAATTGAACCATGTGATTGAATAATGAAATATTTAATTTTGGTGCTACAATGACCAAAATTAAAATAATCTTTTCATTAAGAGCAACTATATGACTACAAATACGTACGTACATAGGACAAAGTGGTCAGTATCCATAGTCTAGTTTGCTTAGAGAAAATGCTTCTGTACTTTAGGAATCAGAAAATAGTTTCTCCATATAAGAGCATATCTTCAAGTCAACATCCTTCTATAAATAAATAGTTCAATTTCAAACTTCCTGGAAATGAGTATTTAACATTTAATCATTAAATACAGTCAGTGAAACTATTAAATGAATTCAAAGGACTAAATGAATATTATGAACTGGCAGTTATTAACTGCAACCATAAAGTATTAAAGAATAAACAGTATTGATGGCCAATCTGGAGTGACAATCTTAGTAACAAAATATTTTTATAAACTGTTTGTCAAAAAGAAGGCCAAAAAATACATCAGATTTGACCACTTAAAGTATTTTCTTTGTTGGCATAATTTCTCTTTTTAAAAAATAACTTAATACAAATTATTCTACTAAGAAATAACATTCTTTAGAAAAAAAAACTTGATTCACCAGTGCTTCATGAAATTGCTTTTCATTACTCTCTCATACAGTCATAAAGCTGCACATTTTTTCTGTAGTTCTAAACAAGGTTTAAATCAACTCCCCCCTCCCCCACCAACAAATTATCTCTGCCAATTAATGATTCAAAAACTTTCCTAAAATTCAATTATTTACAGATGGGTCTAGAGTTTCTACACATATTGTGTGCAAAGCAATGTTTGCCCTTTGATCCAAACTATATTTTCAAGGACATCTCTAAAGCAAACAAACAGCATTGGAAGATAGAATGTCTCCCACCAGAGCCTCAGGGCTGTCATGGTTATTGCTCATTACAAAAGATTTAGGTTCTCTAAGCTCAGAGATCCTTTCTGTAACACAACTCACTGTTAGTGCAGGTACCATCCCATCCTTTTGTGTCTCCTTGTAGAAACTGGGGCTTGGGGAACTGATACAAAAATAAGAATACACTAGCTCCTGTTATTGCTATGATTAAAGGTTGTCCAACTTTGGCCCAGGAGGTTTGTGTCTTTTATCGGCATCCATGAAACTATGGCGGGCCATCTTGTAAGTTTGCAAGTAAAAATCTCAGACCCTTCACAGTTCTTTACACCAATAAGATCATATACTTGATGCACCCTTTATAAGTTATTTTCAGAACTTAGAAACTTAGTTTTCTTTTGTTAAGTGAAGCCAGGGCCATTCACTGCACATTTTCCACTGGGCAGCAGGTCACCTCTAGCTGTAAGAAACAAGAAAGATGACGAAGAGGAGAAATCAACGTAACCCATGTTTGAAACACACAGTGGCCTATATTTGAAAACATAATAACAAAGCCACATGAGGCTGGCTTTTCTAATCATCCAAAATTACTTGGCTCTAAATATTTTCATCACCTTCTGTCTCAGCAGTTTATATGTCAAGAAACAAAATGGTCCAGAAAGTATTTGTACCAAATAATAAAGCTTTAGTCAATCCATTCTGACACAAGGCAAACTAAGGAGGTGAGTCAGAAAGTTCAAGTTTTGCTCTTCAGACATCTTTCTTCTGTTTAGGTTTGTTTATTTGTTGCCCAAATCAAAAAGTGAACACTGGTTTATGATCCAACAACAAATCCTACAAGAAGTTTAGTCTTAGCTATTAGATTATCCATTAAAAAAAATTCTCCATCTAATTAAGATGATAAATGTCTCAAACTCTGCATAGTTCCTCTATAATTCCTACATTATTATTTTTCAATTGGTACTAAATATACATCTTATAGCCGCTCAGGATCAGGTCTAATTCTGGGTTCTGGTTAGTGTTTGGAATAACATGAGTAAATGATATGGCATAAATATAAATGATAGTGACAAACACTGTCAAACTTTATCCAGTGTGGTTTTTCTGTTTCAAGTGGCAGAAATTAAGTGAAAATATCATAACCAATAAATGTTTATTCTTTTATCAGATAACGGCTGAGAAATATGTGGTATTTGGCTAATGTGAAAAGAGAAGCTTCCTTAAAGTCTGGGTTTGCAGAAATTCAGGAAGTAGAGTATTAATGGGAAGTAAGATAGGGTGAGGTAGAGTATTAATGGGAAGTAAGATAGGTGATGTAATCAAAGAATCAGTGCCAGTCCCCTCTTTCTTCATCTGATTCAAGATCGTGAACCTGAGCCAGCTCTGATAAATGTAATAATTCTAGACAGTGAAGTTTACCATTGAAACACTGAAGTTGACTGCAGAAACCAAATGCTGTTCTAAGCTAACTCTTTCCTGTAACCTATCCCATCTCTGCCTACTCTGATACCAGCCTTATTTTTTTTTAATTTTTCTTTTGTTTCCTCCTGACTAGGCTTTGTAACCCTCTCACTGAACCTTTATCACAGCTGGTATTCTATTTCAAACTGGATAAACAAAAGAATAATTGAGATGAAACCATAGGCTAAATGCAAATATCTCCCGGCCTATTAACTCCTATTGCGTTCCTCACCTATCGCATCAGCCCCTCTTGGATGCCAATGTTAGTTTAAAGCAAGTAATGTTAGTCCCGTGCCTTTGGACATTATACTCTAGATTGCTGATCAGTACTTTAGAATCCACCCAGGTTGTGTTTCTAATAGTTTCCAGCTTTCCTCCCTCTCAACCAGCTCACCTACTGAGAACTTAGCATACACTGGATCACATTCACTAAGAATTATAATATATTCTAGCACACATGTATGGATAAGCTCCTCTATTTTATTCACATCTCTTTTGGCTCCCATAGCTACTTTTAGAAGAGTAAGTGCACTCATACATCATTCTCTCCACAAAAAGATTCTTAAGATTTATCGTGTCCCAGATACCAAGCTCAGTAATAGGGTATATGTAAAGGAAAATGAGACAATTGAAAGAAAAAATTAAGTCCCTGCTCTATACTAGATGCCGTTGTAAGTGTTCATAGTTCTGTGGGGAAAATGTTTATGTGAACACATTTCACACATGCTTTAAATGCTATGCTAGAGGTATGTGCAATGCACATGGAAATACAGAAATAGACACACTGGACTCTGCATCAGTTGAAGCTGAATTCACTGGCCGGTGACTTTTAAAGAACACGTGGTCAGATGCAAAATGGTTCTATAAATAAAGAGGAAGGAGAAATCAGTGCTCCAGGCAGACAGACCAGTATATTCAGTGAAATGGATGTGTGAGACAGTATATTCTATACTGTGTCTCTTCAATAGGAAGAACTGAAAATGAAAATTGTTCCTTTTCACTTCTGCTTTTTATTAAGAGGCCAGTAGTAGAGAAGCTGGAACAACAAAAGAAAGTTTTAGATTTGCATATAAACTTTTGTTTACATTTATGTTATGCTTGGTATGTTAACTGGGCATCTAAGCTTATTTCAAAGTAGAGCAATAGTAAAAAAAAAAAATTAACCTGTTAAGAGAATAAACAGTGGCCTGATTATGTTGGAATCCTTAATGTTTCCCATGTTTGCATGAATGTATGTATAAAACATATATATAAATTGGGAATATGGTGGGTTTTCCTGGTTTCAGTGTGAGACACTGACCTCTACAGTATCCTTCAGTGCCCTGGCCAGTTTCAGGTGGTGGTTGCCCAGTGCCAGGCAATGGGAAGAATCAAGTTATAAGCCTCACTATATTTCTTTCCCTGCATCACCCAAAAAGTGAGGAAAAAATTTTAAAAAACAAAGATGAAAAATAACCAATCAACAAAATTCTTTATTAACTAAAAGTTAATGAAAGTTATTGTAAACTCCAGCCTAAGAAAGATAGCAGCTGATCTTCTTTCAAAGCTGAATAACACCCTTAATCAATCCCAGCCCTATTTCCTTGCCCTAGCTTGTCCTCCCACTGGGTGTAGGCACATCACCCGCTTGACTCCCTTCCCTCTCTGTCCTCTCTAAGTTTGTCTTGCTCTCTATGCCTGAGTCTTAAAACAGGCCACAAAGATGCCACTCCATGGGTTAAAGTTGTTCTGGGTTCCATTAGTGTTTGCTCTTTCTTCTTACCTAGGTAATTTCAGTGCTATGACACTGCGGTCTGATAGTCACTGAGCCCTCACTCTGTGGTAGGCTAAGAGACACTGCCATGAGAAGGAGAGTTTCAGGCTTTGGGAGCTCATCCTCTTGTGAAGTGTACATTCACTAGATGATTATACAACTAAATCTCTTTTTGATGAAATCAGGCTTCACCTATTATTCAAAGGCAGGATGTTTTAGGCTTGGTGTCAACGGGTCATGGAACATACGAGGACTCCACATTATTTCTTCCGTTCCAAAGGCTGTACCTTTCTTTTCAACTTTGCCACATGGCATCCTACTCTTTCACCATTCTGCAATGGACTTCTATTATTTAACAACGACCACCAAAAGGCTTCCTTTTCCTGTCTAGGAAGGGTCCTGGGTACTCAATGTATTTGCTCATGACCTGAGCTTCGTAAGTGGTTGAGCTGATATATTCTGCTCATAGTTATCGATGTGAGTCATCTGCTTTTCCGCATCCTGGTATGAATACCCCTGAGCATGCAGTGTGACCTAAGGACATATGAAGTTATGGATAAACATATTTCATCTTTTTGGAAGAAAGGATGGTAGAAAAACAACTTTATTTTTAGATGAACATGGGAACATTATGTAAGAGAATGCAAACTTTTAATGTAAAACAGATGTCAAAGAATATTTGTGTTTATGGTGGACTGTACCAGATTTCTATGAGAACTAGTCATTTTTTTTCTGTAGTCAGGAACAGAAAATGTGGAGAATTTTATATAAATAAAATTTATTTACAAAACTTGAAGAACAGTGCACACAAACATTCTTCAAGACAGATCACTTGTTAGGGCACGAAATACACCTCAGCAAATTTCAAAAGACTGAAATTACAGAAATCAGTAACAGGGGGACTTTGGAAAAATTTGCCAATACACGGATATTGAACAGCATGCTCCTGAGCAACCAATGGGTGAATGGAAGATTAAAAGGGGGATTTTTTAAATGTCTTGAGGCAAATGAAAGTGGAAACACAATATACCAAAACTTACAGAATGCAGCAAAAGCAGTTCTAAGAGCAAAGCTTATAGCAATAAACACCTATTTCAAAAAAGAAGAAAGATCTCAAATTAACAACCTAATATTATACCTCAATGAAACAGAAAAAATAAACTAAGCCCATAGTTAGCAGAAGGGAGCAAATAATAAACATTAGAGCAGAAATAAATGAAATAGAGACTAGGGAAACAATCCAAAAGATCAACAAATGAAGAGTATGTTTTTTGAAAAGAAAAAATCAACAAACCTTTAGTTGGGCTCACTAAGAAAAAAAAATAGAGATAATTCAAATAAAATCAGAAATAAAAAGGAGACATTAAAACTGATACCACAGAAATACAAAAGCTCATGAGAGATTACTAGAAACAATTATATGCCAACAAATTGGATAACCTAGAAGAAATAAATTCCTAGATACATAGAACCCGCCAAGACTGAATCATGAAGAAATAGAATATGTGAACAGACCAATAACAAGTAAGGAGATTGAATAAATAACCAATAATTAAAAGTCTTTCATCAAAGAAAAGCCTGATGGCTTCACAGCTGAATTCTACCAGACATTTAAAGAAGAAATAATACCAGTCCTTTTCAAACTATTCCAAAAAATTAAACAGGAGGGAATACTTCCAAACTCTTTTTAAGAAGCCAGCCCTACCCTGATACCAAAGCCAGATGAGAGCTCTACAAGAAAAGAAAACTATAGGCCAGTACCCTCAATGAACATAGATCCAAAAATCTTCAACAAAATATACAAGCAAACAAAATTCAACAGCACATTAAAAAGATCATCCTCCATGATCAGGTGGGATTAATTCCTGAGATGCAAGGATGGCTCAACATACACAAATTAATAAATGTGATCCATTACATTGAAAAACAAAAGGACAAAAAACCATATGGTCATCTAATTAGATATAGGAAAAGCATTTGACAAAATTCAATATTCTTTCATGATAAAAACTCTTACCAGATTACGTATAGAAGAAAGGTACCTCAATAAAATAAAGATGGCTGGGCATGGTGGCTCATGCCTGTAACGCCAGCACTTTGGGAGGCTGAGGTAGGCAGATCATTGAGGCCAGGAGTTTGAGACAAGCCTGGTCAACGTGGTGAAACCCTGTCTCTACTAAACATACAAAAATTAGCCAGGCATGGTGGCACATGCCTGTAATCCCAGCTACCCGGGTGGCTAAGAAATGAGAATTGCTTGAACCTGGGAGACAGGGGTTGCAATGATCCGAGACTGTGCCACTGCACTCCAGCCTGGGTGGCAGAGTGAGACTCTGTGTCTCAAAAAATAAAATAAAAGTCAAATATGAGAAGCCCACAGCTAACATTATACTCAATGGTGAAAATATGAAAGCTTTTTCTCTAATATCTGGAACAAGATAAGTTGCCCACTCTTACCACTTCTATTCAACATAGTACTGGAAGAGCTTACCAGAGCAATTAGGCAAGAGAAAAAATAAAAGGCATCCAAATTAGAAAGGAAGAAGTTAAATTTTCTCTGCTTGTAGATAATATAATTTTACATACAGAAAACTCTACTAATTCCACACACACACAAAAAAAAACCTGTTATAACAAATGAATACAGTAAAGTTGCAGGATACAAAATCAACACAGAAAAATCAGTAACATTTCTATACACTAACAAAGAACTACCCAAAAAAAGAAATCAGGAGAACAATCTCATTTACAATCTCTACAAAAAGGGTAAATTATTTAGGAGTAAATTTAACCAAGGAGGTGACTGTCTTCTACAAGGAAAACTATAAAATGTTGATAAAACAAATTGAGGAAGATACAAATAAATGGAAAGATATTCCATGTTCATAGATTACAAGAATTAATATTATTAAAGGTTTATACTAGCCAAAGTGATCTACAGATTACGTGATCTACAGATTCAATGCAATCCTTTTCAAAATTCCAATGTCATTTTTCATAAAAAGAGAAAAACAGTCCTAAAATTCATATGGAACTGCAAAAATCCTCAAATAGCCAAGGCAATTCATAAGCAAAAAGAATAAAACTGAAGTTATCATACTACCTGACCTCAAAATCTAGCGCATAAGAGCAAAGTACTGGCAAATACACAAACACACAAATATATATAAACATACATATATATGTGTGTGTATACATGTATATATGTATACATGTATATGGGTATACATGTATATATGTATACATGTATATGGGTATACATGTATATATGTATACATGTATATGGGTATACATGTATATATGTATACATGTATATGGGTATACATGTATATATGTATACATGTATATGGGTATACATGTATATATGTATACATGTATACATATACACACACACATATACACACACACATATCTACATATATACATATATATACACACGCACACATACACACACACACACACACACACACACACACACACACATATACTAATCAGTGAAACAGAATAGAAAGCCCAGGACATGATTTATGTATGGTCGATTGATTTTTTGTGTGTTTGTTTGGGACAGGGTCTTGCTCTGTCACCCAAGCTGGAGTGCAATCACAGCTCACTGCAGCCTTGACCTCCCAGGCTCAAGCAATTCTGCCTCTTCAGCTTCCAAATGTGCTGGGATTACAGGCATGAGCTACCATGCCCAGCCTATGGTCAAATGATTTTTGACAAAGGTGCCAAGAATACACAATGGTAACTATCAAAAGGATAGTCTCTTCGATAAATGGTGTTCAGAAAACTGGCTATCCACGTGCAGAAGAATGAAATTGGGCCCTTATCCCATGCCATATGCAAACATCAACTCAAAATGGATTAGAGATTTAAACATAAGATCAAAAACTGTAAAACTACTGGAAGAAAACAGGGGAGAAACTACACAACATTGATCTAGGCAATGTTTTTTTTGGATTTAAGCCCAAAAGTGCAGACAACAAAAGCAAAAACAGACAAATGGGATTATATCAAACTAAAAAGCTTCTGCACAGCAAAAGAAACAACAGAGTACAGAGACAATCTATGAATTGGGAGAAATATTTGCAAGCCATATATATAAGGGGTTAATATCCACACTATATAAGGGGCTCAGGCAATTCAAAACAAAACAAAACACAGATAATAAATGAGCAAGAGACCTACATAGACATTTCTCAAAAGAAGACATCCAAATGGCCAGAGATATTTTAAATGTTCAACATCACTAATCTGTTGAGCTAGTCTATTCAGTGATTAGACTAATCCCTAATTTTACACTGTATTCATAAATCATAACAATACTTTATACCCCATAAAATTAGACAATTATAAATTGCCAATTTACAATTTTAAAAAGTTTGAGAAGCACTAGCCCAGCAATTCCCTAGGGAGTGATTTTCCATGAAGTTGTCACCATAGGTTTTAACAAAACAAATAATGATCATGACATATCATGAATACACCTCTAAATAAAAGTTAACTTTTTTTCATAGGGAGCTAAGATAATTTATTGGCAATTTGAAAGAATTTTTATTTCAGTGATTTTTCAAAATTTTTGTTTCTCTACACCTAAGAGCATCCACTATAATGTCTTTTCTTTTTTTTTTTATTATACTTTAAGTTTTAGGGTACATGTGCACAACGTGCAGGTTTGTTACATATGTATACGTGTGCCATGTTGGTGTGCTGCACCCATTAACTCATCATTTAACATTAGGTATATCTCCTAATGCTATCCCTCCCCCCTCCCCCCACCCCACAACAGGCCCCGGTGTGTGATGTTCCCCTTCCTGTGTCCAAGTGTTCTCATTGTTCAATTCCCACCTATGAGGGAGAACATGTGGTGTTTGGTTTTTTGTCCTTGCGATAGTTTGCTGAGAATGATGGTTTCCAGCTTCATCCATGTCCCTACAAAGGTTTTCTTACAGTTCATTTTTAAAGCAACAGCTGACCATCTTGTGAAAAAGTAATATCTGTCAGATCAAGTTCTGAAATAAAAATAAAACCTGTATGACAACAAGATAACTTCAATTTTGTTTCGGATCAACAGAGTTTTAGGTTTCATTATGGTGGCATATGAGTGGGCAAAATGTATTCAATTTCCAATTAGAATTTCATGGAAACTGACCTATTATTCATTCTAAATATTTTAAAAATGATTAGTCTGTGGGTGAGCCCGTTATATACTTCTTTTGGACCATTTAGCATTTGAAAAAATCAGAACACTTCACATATAAAACCTTAATTCTGGCTTCTCTTTAAAAAAAAAAACAGAGAATTTTGGAACACAAGCCTCTAGAGCCTCCAGGCAACAACTGGTCAGGGTTGAATGAACACTATCAATTTTATGTAAGGCTGCTCTCAAGGTCACTATGTCCCCAACCCTCCTTTACATCAGATTTGCTTTACTTGTTTTCATTTCTTGCACTTAAGCATTTAAGTTGGCAAGACTGATTCATTCAACCATCCTTCCATGCATTGAACATTTTTAGATAATGTGTGTGACAAACTGTTTTGTAACTAACAGGTATATTACTAAGCCATAGCCACTGCCCTGAAATACCCGAAAGCCCCATACAGCAGACACAGAAATAAATCATACTACAGTGTGATTAAAAAAAAAATAGCATAGATCTGCCCAGAACATTATGAGAGCTCTGAGAAGCAACCCGGAGTGCAGAGGAAAATTCAGGGAAGGATTCTCTGAAGGGCTGTTCCTGAAGAAAAAAGAATCAGAGTCAAAGGTAATCTAGGCAGAGAACAGTGTAGGAATGGCACAGCCGTCAGAAGCATTGATCATTTATTATTAGAGCACAAAGATGGGGAAGAAGGTAAGGAGAGTTAATGTTGGTGAGGGAAGGCAGAAGTCAGAGTGGAAGTCAACCTGAACTACCCACAATAGGGTCTCAGATTGTTGCCAATGAGTTAATCCATATAAAAGAGCATTCCAGTTTAATACCATGTCTTATTGCATGAATATTTTTGTTGTATTGGATTTAAAATCTTTCTAAAATATATCAGATACATCTCTCTTTTCTTAAATTATATTCACAATGATCAGATTGAGTTTGACATTCATAGTGTATCCTTGAGTCATCCAATCATTATAGCACACTGCTGATAAAGTATCAATTCTATCAGTGGGTTTGAGGGTTATGGGACTTTTCCTCCTACACTAATAATATTCCACTTGAGTAACTCATCTTTTTAAAATATAAAGCTGTTAGGCAAATTGACAGCAACAAAAACTCAGTCTCAAGTACTGTCCTCCTTCTCATTTGTTCTGATATACTATAAGCTAAAAGAGCAAGTTCATTAGATATACATAAAGTAAGTCATTCATTTCAGTTAGAATAAGCACCCTTATAAATTGTATACATGAGTTCCATGCCAACTCTTTTATTCACTTAGAAGCCTCTCCATACTTTTTATTTTAAATTTTCATGGAAACTGTTGAGAACATTTGAGAACAGTGGTTCTCATCCTTTATATCCTTCTACTCTACATCTGACCCAAGAGCTCCCTTACTATATAGAGGATATATAGAGGCTCTATTGCTATATAGAGGCACTGACAGTGTAGGCTGGGACTTTCAAAAGCCTTATTCCTCTCTCTTCTACTCAGGAAACATATGAGAGGGCATGCCAGTATCAGAGTTCCAGGGCTAAACTTAAACACCCTAAAATTCATAATCATGTTAAATGGGAAAGAAAAACAATTACAATATAAGCAAGCATAGTATGACCCCATTAAAAATATATGTAATATAGATAGAAAGACATTAAATAATATATATTAAATATACACATATTAGTTTATATATTTATACATATTAGTTTATATGTATTTATAAATACAAAGATATTAAAGAATATACATTAAAATGCTTTTAAAAGTAAATCATTTTAAGAGTTTGGTTCTTTAGTTCTGATTACTAACAAATTGCCTGGGGCACAGCTCACAAATGCCTAAGATATACCGTAGGATCACAAAAAGATGGTGCTGGTTGCCTGGGTGAGTGAAGTGAACCTGTGGTAAATGAATATCCTGGGAAACTAAAAATTCAAACTACCTTTGATTGGGGATGGTTCCTATTTCTCAGTTCTTATCCTCTTCTAATACTCCTGAAAATGGATAAACCTGGTCATAAAATGGAAGAGAAAGAGACATAATTGACTTAAAAATAAAGATGGTAACAGAAGAAAGGAATACAAAGAGGAAGATAAGAAACTAGGGGAAATAACTCAATTTCAGTGGGACTTGCAAGGATTTAAATGAGCAGTTATGTATTTAGTATATAATTTAGTTAACTATTTAGTACCTGTGAATTTGGACAGTCCTCAAAAAGCTTATGGCTTCATCTTGAGTCCCAGAATATTTCCAGGGTAAATCCCTTTGCAAATCCCATGTTTTAAAATTCTTTCTCTGTTCTCTTTTTCACTAGATATTTTTTATATATTATATGAAAATGCTTGTTTCTATAAAACCTGAAATTGTAGAACCAGTGATTTAAATTTTGCTCTACAGACCTCATACCAAAAATCCTAGTTTACATAATAAAATAATCTGAGCCTTACTCATATGTAGGTAGCTACCTACTGTTGTGAGCTGAAGCATAATAGGAAAAGTGCCTTTGTCCTTCTTTCTGACCCCTGTGAAATATGACATTGAAAGTAAGTATAAAAAATACCTTGTCCAAGAGAGTAAAGAATAAGCCCTAAGAATATAAACTCTGGATCCAGACTGCTTGAGTTTGAACCTCAGCTCTCCGAATTACCTACGTGACTTTGCAAAAGTTAGTTCATGTCTGGGCTTTCACTTCCTAAGCTGCAAAATGGAGAAAATAATAGGCCTACTTCATGGGGCTGCCGTGAGGTATTAATGGATTCCTACGTGTAAAACGCTTAGCATCATGCCTGGCAGATAGTATGTTCTTCATTAGCGTTTCTTCTGCCAGTAATCTGGAAAACTAATCCATGTAAAGAGGTTAGAATTGTGTAGTCCAGTATATATGGTAACCTCTAGCCATATATAACAATTTAAATTCATTAAAATTAATTAATGCTGAAAAGTCAGTTCCTCAGTTGCACCAGCCATGTTTCGAGTGCTCAATACCGGTGGTGGCTACATTGGGCAGAGCAGATAATGAACACGTCCACCACTTCAAAAAGTTCTACCACATAGTGTTGTACTAGAAACTGATTATAAGGTTGATTAGAAGAATAACAGAGACCCAAGGGAATAGAATAGGATAAGAATGTGTTGAGTCAGGTAGTTGTGAAAATACTGAGTGAGGGTTTACTCTGGACCAGAAGCTGCATGAAGTGCTGAGGATGCTTGCATGTGTACGTGTCTGTCTTTTCCCATGTGTCTGCAAGAGTGGGGCAGGGCTGATATGATAGAAAACTGAAGCTTAAGGAGTCTTGAAGAGTGAATAGGTTTTAGGTAGGAAAACATTACAAAAAATGTTAAAGCTGTTTATTGTCTGTAGGCTGTGTAGGTAATCTTTTTTTTTATTAATTTCTTGTTCCTAGTACAATAATTACTGCCTAATAGGTACTCACCATACATTCATTTAATTTATAAATTTTAAAAGTCAGTATGAATGGAGTGAGGATAAAGAGGATGGGAATATCTGCAAATGGGGCTGGAGGGAGAAGAAAAGAGAGGGGCAGGATGGGAGGAGACACTGTGGGTTTGTTTAAAACTGAGTACGCAGAGCATGAAGGAGGAAGTGAACACACAGAGGGGCTATAAAGCCAAGGTGAGGGCAGTACAGGCCTCCGCATCTGTCTACCCAAGAATCATCCAGCTAGTTTCATATTAAGTATTTTCCTTCTTTGTTCCATTTTCTACTTGTACATTTAGAGTGAGAAAGAGATGACCAGAGGAAAACAGGGTTATATGTTTAACTGCGTGAAGCTACAGAAACAGAATGTTACTGCACGCATTGCAGGATTTAACAAACTTGTCCTTCTTCCTACTCCCACCTCCCCAGTAAAGAATCCAATGTGAGACATCAGTTCGTAAAGAAAAAAAAAAAAAGACTGACATCTTTAATAATGAGTTTTATTATCTGTGAAGATGGCATATGCTTTTGCATTGTATGAATACTCTTTAATGTCTTTCAATACAATTTTAAATTTTATTCCATTAAAGCCATGTTTTTTGCTAGGTTTATTCCTTAAGTTTTGTTGTTTATGTGAACTGTATATTTATTATGTTTTCTAACAGTTCATTGTTGATATAAATGAGTATGATTGATTTTATATAACAATCATATACATAGCAATTTGCTAAACTCTCTTACTGTATCTAATAATTTTTCCATGGAATTTTTGAGCTTTACTATACAATCTTATGCTAATAGTGGCACTTTTATTTCTTCCTTTACAAACTTATTATTTTTATTTCTTTCACTTTCTATTGTGCTAGTTAATGCTCCAGTACATGCTTATAGAAGCAGCAGTGGAGGCATCATTGTCTTCCTCCTGAATTTAAAAAGAGATGCTTCCAATATAAAAGAAATTGAAGAAGGCACAAACAAATGGAAAGATATTCCATGCTCATGGATTGGAAAAATCGATATTGTTAAACCTTTCATATTACCCAAAGTGATAATAGAGATTCAAAACAATATCAAAATTCCAGTAGCATTTTTCACAGAAATAGAAAAAAATTCTAAAACGTATACAGAACAACAAGAGAATCCAAACAGCCAAAGTAATCTTGAGAAAGAAAAACAAAGTTGGAGGCATCACACAACCTAATTTCAAATTATATTTGAAAGTTATAGTAATCAAAACAATATGGTACTGATTTAAAAACAGACACATAGATCAATAGAATAGAACAGAGAGCCCATAAATAAACCGAAGCATATAGGGTTAAATAATTTTCAACAAGGGTACAAAGAAGACACAATGGAAGAAAAGATAGTCTCTTCAATAAATGATATGGAAAAACTGGATAGCAACACACAAAAGAATTAAATTGGACCCTTCTTACACCATACACAAAAATCAGCTCAAAATAGATTAAAGACCTAAACATAAGATCTTTCCCTAGAAGAACACATAGGAAAAAAGCTCCTTGACATTTGTCTTGACAATAATTCTTTGGATATGACACCAAAAGCATAGACAACAAAAGCAAAAGTAAACAAGTAGGACTTCTTCAAACTAAAAGCTTCTGCACAGCAAAGAAAACAATCAACAAATGAAAAGAAGTGTTCAAAACTACATAATATTCAGAAAAAGAAGAAACCAACCTAAGTGATAATGAGTTTAGTTAATAGCAAAATGTTCATCCTTTGGGGAAATTTTACCCTAAAAATCTTGGGTGATTTTAAAAAGGACAAATTTCCTCAATACTTCCTGAAATTACAGACTTGAAGTTTACACTGAGAATCCAAATGAGGAAGAAAGTCAACATTAAGATAAAAATAAAATTCTGAGAAATTCTTTTATCCTGTAATTCCAATATAAAATTTTGCAACAGGCTGTTCTTTAAGAAACAAACTGGAAGGGGAATTTTTTTAATATACTTTCTCAAAAAACAACTCTCTGACATTACTCTCCTGACATCTTATCAAGCATATCATATAGACCCATCATTTCTGCCCCTAAAATATATTAAGAATAGCACCTTGTATATAATAGGTATTTGATGAAAACTTGCTAAATTAGAATGTACTATTTTCTAATTTATTTGACAATACCTGATCATTGTACCCTAAATAGCATAATTTTTTAATCTCATATGTTTGTTCTTGGATAAATACACAGTAACTGTTTCATAGGGAAACTATATTTTTAAAAATCATTTCAGTGATTCAGAAACATAACGAGATGTGAAAACCACTAATTAAAACATTTTTTAATCCCCATCATCCAGTGTACATGTTTAGACAAGGACTTACTAATATTTTCTCTATGTTCATTTAATGCACAGCACTCTTTCTTCAGTAATATCTTTCGCCATAAGTTTCTAGTAAATGGTTATTAGATTCTTGCAGGTAAGAAGTGACATGAGGATAATTTCTAAGCCACTTTGGGTATATGGGGTATATTGTAATCTAATCTGAAAATGATTGACCTCATTTCTAGAAGACAGGTTACAATAAAAATCAACTAAATCACTTTGTAAGTTTTGCCCAGGCACAACATGGTACAAATCAAAATTATATTATCAATAATGTGTAACTTTTAGACCATTCTTTACTTACCCATTCTTTTCTAACTTTCTTGATTTTAAGTTGGATTTCTTCATTTCAGTATTTAAGATTTTTTTTCTGGAGATAATGAGCTTTGGTCTCAGGAAGTTTAGTTTTCACAAATTCTTTCAACTTAAATAAAAATTTATACCCCTTTCCTCTTGTTATTAAAATAAAAACAAAAAAGATGTATCCCCATAGGTATTCTATCAACATGAAAAGAAAAAATGTTTATTTACATATCTTGTTTGTAGGATTGTTAAAAAATATTTAACAAGCACCATTTTAGAGATCAAGAATATATCACCCAGGTCTTATTACTCATCAAGGTTGCTGGCAAGATGACCCAGTAGGAACAGCTCCGGTCTGCAGCTCCCAGCGAGATAGACGCAGAAGGCAGGTAATTTCTGCATTTCCAATGAGGTACCCACTTCATCTCACTGGGACAGGTTGGACAGTGGGTGCAACACAAGGAGGGCCAGCCAAAGCAGGGTGGGGCATCACCTCACCCGGGAAGTGCAAGGGGTCGGGGAACTCCCTCTCCTAGCCAAGGAAAGCCATTAGGGACTGTACCGTGCACTCCAGCCCAGATACTGGGCTTTTCCCACAGTCCTGGCAACCCGCAGACCAGGAGATTCCCTAGGGTGCCTATACCACCAGGGCCCTGGGTTTCCAGCACAAAACTGGGTGGCCCTTGGAGCAGACACCAAGCTAGCCACGGGAGTTTTTTTCCATACCCCAGTGGCACCTGGAACGCCAGTGAGACAGAACCATTCACTCCCCTGGAAAGGGGGCTGAAGTCTGGCTCGGGGCGGGGTGGGGGGGGTCCAACCCCCATGGATCCCAGCAAGCTCAGATCCTCAGGCTTGAAATTCTCCTGGCCAACACAGCAGTCTGAGATCACCTGGGTCACTCTAGCTAGGTGGGGGGAGGGGCGTCCGCTATTGCTGAGGCTTGAGGGGGCGGTTTTATCCTCACAGTATAAACAAAGCCCTGGGGAAGTTCCAAATGGGCGTAGCCCACCACAGCTCAGCAAAGCCCCTCAGGCCAGACTGCCTCTCTAGATTCCCTCCTCCCTGGGCAGGGCATCTCTGAAAAAAAAAAGCAGCAGCCCTAGTCAGGAACTTAGAAACCCCCACTCCCTGGGACAGAGCATCTGGGGGAAGGGGTGGTTGTAGGCACAGCTTCAGCAGACTTAAACGTCCCTGCCAGGCAGCTCTGAAGAGAGCAGTGGATCTCCCAGCACAGTGTTCGAGCTCTGATAAGGGACAGACTATCTCCGCAAGTGGTTCCCTGAACCCCGTGTATCCTGACTGGGAGACACTTCCCAGTAGGGGCCAACAGACACCTCAAACAGGAGAGCTCTGGCTGGCATCTGGTGGGTGCCCCTCTGGGATGAAGCTTCCAGAGGAAGGAACAGGCAGCAATCTGGGCTATTCTGCAGCCTCCGCTGGTGATAACCCAGGCAAACAGGGTCTGGAGTGGACCTCCAGCACATTCCAGCAAACCTGCAGCGGAGGGGCCTGACTGTTAGAAGTAAAACTAACAAACAGAAAGGAATAGTATTAAAATCAACAAAAAGGACATCCACTCACAGACCCCTTCCAAAGGTCATGGACTTCAAATACAAAAGGTAGATAAATCCACAAAGATGGGGAGAAACCAGCGCAAAAGGCTGAAAATTCCAAAAACCAGAATGCCTCTTCTCCTCCAAAGGATCACAACTCCTCACCAGCAAGGGAACAAAACTAGATGGAGAATGAGTTTGACGAACTGACAGAAATAGGCTTCAGAAGGTGGGTAATAACAAACTCCTCAGACCTAAAGGAGTATGTTCTAAGCCAATGCAAGGAAGCTAAGAACCTTGAAAAAAGGCTAGAAGAATTGCTAACTAGAATAACCAGTTTAGAGAAGAACATAAATGACCTGATGGAGCTGAAAAACACAGCACGAGAACTTCGTGAAGCATGCACAAGTATCATACATGCCAAATTGATCAAGTGGAAGAAACTGTATCAGAAGATCAACTCGAAATAAAGCATGAAGACAAGATTAGAGAAAAAAGAGTGAAAATAAACGAACAAAGCCTCCAAGAAATATGGGACTATGTGAAAAGACCAAATCTATGTTTGATTGGTGTACCTGAAAGTGATGGGAAGAATGGAACCAAGTTGGAAAACATTCTTCAGAATATTATCCAGGAGAACTTCCCCAACCTAGCAAGGCAGGCCAACATTCAAATTCAGGAAATACAGAGAATACCACAAAGGTATTCCTCAAGAATAGCAACACCAAGACACATAATCGTCAGATTCACCAAGGGTGAAATGAAGGAAAAAATGTTAAGGGCAGGCAGAGAGAAAAGACTGGGTTACCCACATAGGGAAGCCCATCAGACTAACAGCGAATCTCTTGGCAGAAACCCTACAAGCTAGGAGAGAGGAGGGGCCAATATTCAACATTCTTAAACAAACAATTTTCAAACCAGAATTTCATATCCAGCCAAACTAAGCTTCATAAGCGAAGGGCAAATAAAATCCTTTACAGACCAGCAAATGCTGAGAGATTGTGTCACCACCAGGCCTGCCTTATAAGAGCTCCTGAAGGAAACACTCAACATGGAAAGAAACAACCGATACAAGCCACTGCAAAAACATACCAAATTGTAAAGGCCATCAACGCTAAGAAGAAACTGCAACTAATGGGCAAAATAACCAGCTAACATCATAATGGCAGGATGAAATTCACACATAACAATATTGACCTTAAATGTAAACAGGCTAAATGCCCCAATTAAAAGACACAGAATGGCAAGTTGGATGAAGAGTCAAGACACATCAGTGTGCTGTATTCAGGAGACCCATCTCACATGCAAAGACACACACATAAGCTCAAAATAAAGGGATGGAGGAATATTTACTAAGCAAATGGAAAGCAAAAAAAAAAAAAGCAGGGGTTGCAGTCCTAGCCTCTGAAAAAACAGACTTTAAACCAACAAAGATCAAATGAAACAAAGAAGGCCATTACATGATGATAAACGGATCAATGCAACAAGAAGAGCTACCTATCTTAAATATATGTGCACCCAATACAGGAGCACCCAGATTCATAAAGCAAGTTCTTAGAGACCTACAAAGAGACTTAGACTTGTACACAATGATAGTGGGAGACTTTAACACCCCACTGTCAATATTAGAGAGATCAAAGAGACAAAAAATTAACAAGGATATCCAGGACTTGAACTCAGCTCTGGACCAATCAGACCTAATAGACATCTACAGAACTCTCCACCCCAAATCAACAGAATATACATTCTTCTCAGCACCACATCAAACTTATTCTAAAATTGGCCACATAATTGGAAGTAAAACACTCCTCAGCAAATGCAAAAGAATGGAAATCATAACAAACAAGTCTCTCAGACCACAGCGCAATCAAATTAGAACTCAGGATTAAGAAACTCACTCAAAACCACACAACTACATAGAAACTGAACAACCTGCTCCTGAATGACTACTGTGTAAATAACAAAATTAAGGCAAAAATAAAGATGTTCTTTGAAACCAACAAGAACAAAGACACAATGTACCAGAATCTCTGGGATGCAGCTGAATCAGTGTTTAGAGGGAAATTTATACCACTAAATGCCCACAAGAAAAAGCATAAGAGATCTAAAATTGACACCCGAACATCATAATTAAAAGAACTAGAGAAACAAGAGCAAACAAACTCAATAAGCTAGCAGAAGACAAGAAATAAGTAAGATCAGAGCACAACTGAAGGAGATAGAGACACAAAAAACCCTTCAAAAAAATTCAATGAATCCAGGAACTGGCTTTTTGTAAAGATCAACAAACTAGATAGACCACTAACCAGATTAATAAAGAAGAAAAGAGAGAAGAATCAAATAGATGGAATAAAAAATGATAAAGGGGATATTACCACCGATCCCACAGAAATACAAACTACCATCAGAGAATACTATAAACACCTCTATGCAAATAAAGTAGAAAATCTAGAATAAATGGATAAGCTCCTGGACACATACACCCTCCCAAGACTAATCCAGGTAGAGGTCAAATCCCTGAATAGACCAATAACAAGTTCTGAAAATAAGGAAGCAATTATTAGCCTACCAACCAAATAGAGTCCAGAACCAGACGGATTTACAGCCAAATTCTACCAGAAGTACAAAGAGGAGCTGGTACCATTTCTTCTGAAACTATTCCAAACAGTAGAAAAAGACAGAATCCTCCATAACTCATTTCATGAGGTCAGCATCATCCTGATACCAACACCTGGCAGAGATACAACAAAAAAGAAAATTTCAGGCCAATATCTCTGATGAACATTGATCCGAAAATCCTCAATAAAATATTGGCAAACCAAATCCAGCAGCACATCAAAAAGCTTATCCACTATGATCCAGTTGGCGTCATCTCTGGGATGCAAGGCTGGTTCAACATACACAAATCAATAAATGTAATCCATCACATAAATAAAACCAATGACAAAAACCATGTGATGATCTCAATAGATGCAGAAAAGGTGTTTGACAAAATGCAACAGCCCTTCATGATAAAAACTCTCAAACTAGGCATTGATTGAATGTATCTCAAAATAATAAGAGCTATTTATGACAGACCCACAGCCAATATCATACTGAATGGGCAAAAGCTGGAAACATTCCCTTTGAAAGCTGGCACAAGACAAGGATGCCCTCTCTCACCACTCCTATTCAACATAGTATTGGAAGTTCTGGCCAGGGGATTCAGGCAAGACAAAGAAATAAAGCGTATTCAATTTTGAAAACAGGAAGTCAAATTGTCTCTGTTTGCAGATGACATGATTGTATATTTAGAAAACCCCATTGTCTCAGCCCAAAATCTCCTTAAGCTGATAAGCAACTTCAGCAAAGTCTCAGGATACAAAGTCAATGTGCAAAAATCACAAGCATTCCTATACACCAATAACAGACAAACAGACAGCCAAATCATGAGTGAACTCCCATTCACAATTGCTACAAAAAGAATAAAATACCTAGGAATCCAACTTGCAAGGGATGTGAAAGACCTCTTCAAGGAGAACTACAAACCACTGCTCAAGGAAAAATAGAGGACACAAGCAAAAGGAAAAACATTCCATGCTCATGGACAGAAAGAATCAATATTGTGAAAATGGCCATACTACCCAAAGTAATTCATAGATTCAATGCTATCCCCATCAAATTACCATTGACTTTCTTCACAGAATTGGAAAAAACTAATTTAAACTTCATATGGAACCAAAAAAGAGCCCACATAGCCAAGACAATCCTAAGCAAAAAGAACCAAGCTGGAGGCATCACGCTACCTGACTTCAAACTATACTACAAGGCTACAGTAACCAAAACAGCATGGTACTGGTACCAAAACAGATATACAGACCAACAGAACAGAACAGAGGCCTCAGAAATAGCACCACACATCTACAACCATCTGATCTTTGACAAACCTGGCAAAAACAAGAAATGGGGAAAGGATTCCCTATTTAATAAATGGTGTTGGGAAAACTGGCTAGCCATATGCAGAAAACTGAAACTGGATCCCTTCCTTACACCTTCTACAAAAATTAATTCAAGATTGATTAAAGACTTAAACATAAGACCTAAAACCATAAAAACCCTAGAAGAAAACCTAGGCAATACCATTCGGGACATAGGCATGGGCAAGGACTTCAAGACTACAACATGAAAAGCAATGGCAACAAAAGCCAAAATTGACAAATGGGATCTAATTAAACTAAAGAGCTTCTGCACAGCAAAAGAAACTATCATCAGATTGAATAGGCAACCTACAGAATGGGAGAAATTTTTTGCAATCTATCCATCTGACAAAGGGCTAATATCCAGACTCTACAAAGAACTTAAGCAAATTTACAAGAAAAAAACAAACAACCCCATCAAAAAGTGGGCAAAGGATATGAACAGACACTTCTCAAAAGAAGACATTTTTGTAGCCAACAAACATATGAAAAAAAAACTCATTAGAGAAATTCAAATCAAAACCACAAATTAAAACCATCTCATGCTTGTTATAATGGTGATCATTAAAAAGTCTGGAAACAACAGATGCTGGAGAGGATGTGGAGAAATAGGAACACTTTTACACTGTTGGTGGGAGTGTAAACTAGTTCAACCATTGTGGAAGACAGTGTGGCAATCCTCAAGTGTCTAGAACTAGAAATACCATTTGACCCAGCAGTCCCATTACTGGGTATATACCCAAAGGATTATAAATCATTCTGCTATAAAGACACATGCACACATATGTTTATTGCAGCACTGTTCACAATAGCAAAGACATAGAACTGACCCAAATGCCCATCAATTATAGACTGGATAAAGAAAATGTGGCACATATACACCATGGAATACTATGCAGCCATAAAAAAGGATGAGTTCATGTCCTTTGTAGGGACATGGATGAAGTTGGAAACCATCACTCTCAGCAAACTAACACAAGAACCGAAAACCAAACACCGCATGTTCTCACTCATAAGTGGGAGATTAATAAGGAGAACATATGGACACAGGCAGGGGAACTTCACACACTGGGGCCTTTCAGGGGGTGAGGGGCTATGGGACGGATAGCATTAGGAGAAATACCTAATGTAGATGACGGGTTGATGGCTACAGCAAACCACCATGGCATGTGTATACCTATGTAACAAACCTGCACGTTCTGCACATGTACCCCAGAACTTAAAGTATAATTAAAAAAAAAACTCATCAAATGACCTAAGCTCCAAGAATATAAAACTCCAATAAGGTATTTCTAAAAATGCTAAGATGAAAACTTGATACCCTAAAGGCAAAATCTAGTGATACAGTATGACGTCCATAGAGGAAAGAATTGTAGAGATAAGGCCAATACACTGAAATCATTTTGTATAAGGCAGGCATTAATTTATTCATTTCACAAATATTTCTTGAGTCCCTACCAGATGCGAGTCATTTTTTTACAGAGTACCTCCTTTCCTCATCGAACTGGTATTCTACTTCAGAGGAAGCGTAGAACAGTAAAGGTAAAAGCAAACAAGCAAATAAACAAAACAGTCAAATATGAACCCAAATCCTGGCTGAGATACTTAAGAACCATTAATTCTTTGGCAAATTATTTTACCTTTCTGAACTTCTTTTTCTGCATTTACAAGTAGAAATAATATTACCAACCACACAGGTTTGTTGTGAGGATCAAATAAGCTAATGTAAATAAAGCTAGGGCCTGGCATAGTCTTATCTGTGTTTTCAAGTTAGCTAGAGAATAAAATCCAAACTTCTTAGCTTTTGGACAGATCATAAACAATACTGTTTGCCTTGTAATCTTTCATGTTTCCTCTTCTTTCTCATTTACAGTAACTCTAGCCCACTGAACATCATATTTCATTGAGTGTAAGACACATATTTCTCCCATTTTAACTTTTCTACATACAACATGTCTTATAATCCAAGCCTTCTTGCAATCGCTGTCAGTCAAGTGTCAGTCATTACCGTGACATAGTTTTCATCATCAGTGCATGTGCCAACATTAATAACAATGGCATCCAGAGTTTCAGAATGAATGGCATGGTTTGAAAAAAATCCTGGGAACAGTAGTGAAGCTCCTTTCAAGCCTAAGAAACAAATACGTGTGTGTGTGTGTGTGTGTGTGTGTGTGTGTGTGTATGTGTGTGTGTGTTGAGAAGGGTGGAGAGTACGTAAGGAACAGTGTTGAATCAGATTTGTTTAGCAACATTCTGGAACTGTTACTCAAAACAGTCTACCTCTATGTAATTGCAAACTCAGTTTAATTGTCTAGCACCAAAAGCTTTTGGTCTATTATGGATTCTTTAGATTGTTTTAAAGAAATCCTTCATCACCAATGTCCTTTTGGCACAGAGCACAATCCTGTGGAAAAATATGGGCACTGAAGCTTCTGAGTTGAAAAGTGATTCTGAAGACTCCATCCCCAAATGTGAAGGAACTTAGGAATACCATAACAAATTTGTTTATTTTTTAATTATGTGCATAAGAGTTATATATGATCCAAATCTATATCTAATTGAGTATAAAGAACTGTTTTAAGAGGTATAAAATAAAAATCTAAGATATAATTTAACTGATAACACTTCTTTTTGCTTATTTCTTAAAGATACATAAAATGTCAGAGCAGGTTACAATTGATAGAAGCTTAGACTTCATGCTATATGGTATTCATTGGTTACCCTAAAATGGTGCCTAACATACCAAAGGAACTTAAACAAATGTTTGTTGAAATAAATTAAGAATCTTTCCAGATGGAATACAGTGTCTGGCCCTGAATGCCCCTCCAAGAAAAGGGTTCCTGCAGAAATCCCTCCCCTAGGTTAAGTGTGGGGATTTTCTTACTGCCCAGGATCAGCTTTTTATAGCTGCTTCTGCCACCCTTCAATCTACTCTATACAAAATTCTGTTTCAAGAAGGCTAACTCAGTAATAACAAAAATGATTTTTATCTGTAACAGTTTAGCTCCCTAAAAGAATTTTTAAGTTACCTTTAGAAATTGCCATTTCTAATTCTTATTTTGACTCCTAACTCTCAAGATAATTTTATTAGCGATTCCCATGAAAAGAACTCTTCCTAGTTTTTTTGTTTTTTCTTTTTTTTGTGAAGGTTTTGTGCTACTACAAGTCAGGACAAAATGCTTTTTGTATCACAAACCAAAGCTGGTGCAATGGAAACATGAACTCTGCTTTGAATAGGCAGTCAATCTTAACATGACTATCCACACTGTAATTGATTCCTGGCAACTTATATTTTTAGACGAATACCATGTAAATGCTTTAAAAATTATGCAAATCTTGTGGTTAAATCCCCAGTTTCACACTGTCATGTGAGTCAATGTCTCTAAAACAACCTGCATTATAGCATAGAAGCAGTTTTATCCACATGATGGCAATGAAAAGTAAAAGAAAGCCTTGCCTTTTGCAATCTTTAGTCATGATCAGTTTGTGGATCTTTGGTAACATTAGCAATCGACACAATTTTGTTAACATTCATAGTCTTCCTTTGGTGACAAAGACTGGCAATTTTTCAAAACCTAGTTTCACTCTTTATTGAAATAAGAGATAAAACAAAATCCTTTGCTCTTCCCTTTCTTTCTTCCCATTTGTGCCAACTGCTAGCTGTGTAGCATTTGGCAAGTCACCTACCTTCTTTTTACTGTCATTCTTTTTTCTTATCAGTAAAGTGAGGATTATAAAAATGCATATCTCATAGGTTTGTGATACGGATTAAATGAGTTAATACCTACAAAGCACTTGGAGAAGGGCCTAGCACACAGAAGTCGCTAATAAATCTAGCTATTATTTCTATTCTTGCTGGACATAATCATATAAAATCAACAGAGATGAATGAATAAATAGATTAATGAATTAATGAAAGAAGTGAGATATAAAGCTTGACCTCCAAAGATGGCTAAGATTTCAACAGAAAGAGAAAGTGGGGGTTAAACATACTTATTACTGCTATTTATGCCCTTTTCTTCCAGTCTTCTATCCGTACCCAGGATATAACTTAGATATAATGAGCACAGCACAAGGAATGTTGGTTCAGTAGATCAGAGCCAACGTGTGGCTTTCCAAATTCCTATGAAAAGGGAGAAGAGAAGGAATGGGGGTGAGTGCGCTTTTGAAGAGCATAATCCACCTGTATCCAGCTGTGCCTGGCTGAATACTGAGAGAATAGAGGACTGAGATATGGGATACTGAGAGAATCTGCCAGCCCCATGGTCCACGTGTTCCAGCCCCAAATATATTGGGTTTTGCCCACTTGACAACAACCTACTGGCTGTGTAACTTACTGCACATTGTTTAACATTTCTAAATTTCAGCATTGTTCTTTATAAAACGGATGCTAAAAATAGCTGAGTAGATGCTCTGAAGATCAAATTACATTTGTATGACAACTAGAAAAGAACCTGCTACAGAATAGGTATTCAAAAAATGTTAGTTGCCCCAAATATATATAAATATTTTGGATTAGTCCTCCACAGAAACAGCAACTTACATTAAACTGTATGTAATTCTAGTTAACATCATTTCTCCTCTTTGTCATGGCTGAGAGCTGAATTAGGTGGAGAACAGTTATGCTGCAATCATATAGGTTGTTTGAGTATGTGTAACACTCATTTCTGTATTCTGCTCTAAACAGAGATTCTATAAGAACTGTGATTCAGTCAGTTCCAATGGCTTAAAGCCTCTTGAGCAGCATACCAAATTTTAGATGCCAAAGTTTAATTGAAACTTGGCATATGGATGAACACTTCTGCATGTATTGAAAGCCATCAGAAGATTCCTAAACAAAGAGCAATCACACACATGGTAATTTTATCCAACTGGAACCAATTATATTTGGCATTTTTTATGAAAGAGGGAGAAAAATAAGAATGGACTCAAGAAAATGTTTTCCTTTTATGACTTTTACCCTCTTTAAGATGAATTGCCTTATGAAGTTACTTCTTACAACTCAAGGAGCATAAACTGTCTAGAGAAAAAAAATTATGCAATGTCTTCCTGGAGGCAAACATTTTGTTACAGAATAAATGTGGACTTTTAAGCACATCTGGCAATCATTCCACAACCTACAATGCTGGCACCCTAAAAATGCTTCACGATAATAATATGTTACCAGTAGAGTTGATTACTTCAAGCCAGGGGAGGTTTCAACACAAAACAGGTCATTTCCATGCAGAATACAGAGCTTCAAAGTCATCAGCTATGAGACCCACCATTAATCCAAGTGGTTGGGGGAGACGATTACTCCTAATAGAAGGGGAGCCAGATTTGAAGGTGGTTTTTACACGTGCTTTTCCCCTGGAAGAGCAAGCTTCCACACTGCAATCTTTCACCAAAGTCTAGGTCTTGGCTTTATGGTTATAGATGCCATTTCAAAGGGTATACTAGATTATAGGATTCTTTCTGCGTTCTAGACCACTACATATGTATAAGAAATCATTGTGTCGCACATGTTCTCTTTTATTGATTTCACTTACCATTCAATAAATATGTCTTGTTAAGAAAATCAGCCCTTTAATTTTATTTGGAAATACCTCGTACTGCTGCTGGACTGTCATGTTCTGATGTGACTGCCCCTTTGGGGTCAGAGAGTAAAGCCACACTTCTGTAGGTCAGTGGTGGTATCTTTGCTTAAAGGAGTAGACATATCTAATGTCAATCATCTAGGAAAGAAGGAGAATTTTAAAAAGAAATAAAGTTTGGAAAATAGATATTACACCAAAGAAAAAGGTTGTGGCGGGAGGTGGGGAGGCAGTCATTCTTCAGTCTGGGCTAGGACAAAGGACTAGATTGATTGAGGACGGTCTGCAGAGGGAAAACAAGAACGCTCGCTGCCAGATAGATAATGCTTGGGGCCAGGCAAGGGTCAATCCCCAGGAGACTCCATAAATGAGCTGGAAGAGCAGTTATAGCCAGCCAGGAGTTTTTCCCTTTTTATTAATTCTCTTTGGTAAAGATATAGCCTCGCCTCAGGTGTGCAGAGGGAACTTTAACGGAAGAGCCTCAGGCTAGAGAGCTAAAAGAAGAGTAGTATGCTGGTGGCAGTAGTGATTGGTGAAAGATTCCCTGAAAGATGAGTCTTTGTGACAGGCAGCTGGAATACAAGATATAGGTATCTCTTTTGATATGGACATTCACTCTTCTGCCCAACTTAGCTGATCCAGATGCTATTTCATTAAAGTAGCTGGCATCATTTTATTCCTTATTTGAATAAATATCAAGGAGGAGGAAATCTCTTTGTTGAGGAATAGATTAAATGGTACCTTCTCTCTGCTAGGCACTGTGTTAAGATAGGGGGATGAAGGACAGACCCACTTCTTGTGGCTTACATTCTAGTCAGAGGAAAAGGACGTGTGAACAAATAAATGTAAAAATGTGTAACAGATGTTTCAATGAACATAGTTGCCAAAAACAAGGGAGAGATAACAAGGATATAATAATTTAATATGATGCATAGGCCTGAGTCCATGTTCTTCAATCTTAAACTTCTTTAAGAGACTAGTTATCCTATTGGCAAGTAATATCAGGAAAGATTCTCTAGCCTACAGTCTGAATTTTTCATTCCCTTATTATCAATGTGTTCAATACTAACTTTTTTTGCCTGGAGAAAAGAAAACAATATGTGGGGGATTTTACTTGTGGTCTCTAACATTACATTACCTTTCTTAAACTGGGAATTCAAACTCTGGATCTTATTTTCATAAATGGGGTTCAGGTCACCCAAAACCCTCTTGAAGTCAATAAAAATTTTAAAGGATCTGTGACCCATTTTTTAAAAGTCATTTTTTGTTTTTTTCATGTGAGAGGATATAATTAAGAATCACTTTGAGTTTCCTCTAAGACTGTGATGCAATAAGTCACCTTTTAAAAATATTTAGTACATATCCATCGGAGACCTTATCAGCAATGGAGCACTGACTCCATTAATAACAAGAGAGTAAACCTTTTATGTAATGGAAAAGCCATAGTTCTTACAAGCTATACATTCTTTAACCAAGGTAATATCAAAATATATTATGAGTGCATTTCCACTGTAAATACTTTGAATTTTAAAACTCTCTCATTCAAATCTCTGTTTTCTTTAATTTTTAGTATTTCCTCTTGTCTTTGGTGTTCTGCAATTTAAATGATATGTTTAAATGGGGTTTTTTTTCTGTTTTACAATAATATTGGTATACTTCATAAACATGAAAATTCATTATTTCTGGAAAATCCTTACCCATTATCTATTCAAGTCTTGCCTCTCCCACTTCTATATGTTTTCTTTTCCTGGAACTCTTACCTTCTAGCTCCATTACTCTTAACGATGTTCATACAAAATATTTTTTATGTCTCTGCATTTTGGGTATTATCATCAATTATGTTCTAATCTGCATTTAGCCCTTCCATTAATTTTTTTTAAGAATTGTATTTTTTACTTATAGATGTTCTATTTGTCCTTTTCTTTAAAAATGTCATTTTTTTCTTAAGGTTTGATTTATTCTTTTATATTGTCAACATTTATATGTACTTTTAAAGATTCTTTTTCATGTGGTTGTATTATCTCAACTTTTTAAAAAATCCACTAACTACTGCATGTCTTATATCTACTCACTCATGGTCGATTGAGTCCATGGTCCACTGACTCTCACTCTTGGTCGATTGTTTCCTTGTGTGTTTTGTTATTCATTATAGCAAGCATATCTTTAGCAGGACTTGCTTTCTTCTTGAAAAGCCTAGGCAATCTAGATGCTTGATACTAGTCTTTCATAATGATTTTGTGTTTTACTCTTATAGGAACCTCAGGAGTATTTTCCATGTTGACTATTTCTAGGCTAGTTAGGTAGGGTATAAAAACAAAAACCCCAAAAACGATATTCTCAAGGGGAGTGTTCTTTTCTTCTTACTGTTAAAGTTTCCTGTTCTCACTGTATGCTGGTGGGCATATATTTCTAGCCTACATTTTTATTTAATGGCTTTATGCAGGGCACAGGGGTATCTCAGTTCCAGCTCTCTGCCTCATCTGGCACCAAGAGTTTACCTTCTTTCTGTCTCATATGGACATCAGATTCCAGGCTTCTTCGTCACTGGGACGCATAACTCACAGGGCAACCACATCATCACTTCACAATCTATACTCGCTTTTAATGTCTTTGTTCTTAGCACATGGTAGATTACCCTTTTATTTTTCACAAAATTGGGAGATGTTTTAAAATCATTTAAAATCTTTTATCCAGTACTGCCAGGTGTCTGTAACCATAAATTTTTCAGATTGTCTCAGTCAGCTGAATTGCCAGTGCTTTAGTTTACAGTTTACTGTTTCATTATTCATAATCAATCAATTACTCCTTCCCAAGCAGAAAGTTTAGTTGGACTGTGTTTTCAGATCCTGAGATTTTAGAAATGCTTAACTTTTTTAAATGTCTGGGATTCTTCCCCAAGTTCAGCAGTGATGAACTGTAAACATACCTTTAAAGTTCTAAATAAAGGAAATCTGAAATGCCTCCTGGGACCTTGGCAGGACATGGGCCTTTCTTGCTAATCACCATTACAAATTGATCACAATAGAGAATATTAATTGATTTGCTATTGAAAGTTGAATAAAGAGAAAATCTGAGCCATTTTCTTCTGAACACCATTTCAATTTATTACTATTTTAACTATTAAGGCCTTATTTAACTATTAAGGCCTTATTGCACATAATTGCTCACAAATAAGATAATTTACCATAATTTTCAGTTTTACTACTGAAAACTGAAGCCCCATAAATATAAATAAAAACTGAAGCCCCATTACTACTGAAGCCCCATTACTACTGAAGCCCCATAAATATATGTAAAAAATTTTTCTAAATAAGAAAACTATGAAACAGAAATTTTTGGCAAGAGTCATAGAATTTATTCCACAGAAATGACAACTTACAAAGACTTGGGATCTTATAAGGGAAAATCTCAATGATTTGAGAAATGGCAATATTCATATCTAAAATGTACTAGTGATTGCCACTTTCAGAAATGATACACCTCCCACTATGAAATTGTATAAATCACAAGTCAAAAGCATATGGAAGAGTTGATTTCTACTCTACCAGAGGGAGTAATTTTCTTTAGCTCTTTCTCATACATCATAGGTGTGAAGTACTTTTGTTTCTTGGTTAAAATTTTTCTGTTAGTTGATTATTCAACTAGAAAAACTTAAAATCTTGTCAGAGAAAACAGTGGATGAAATGTAACTATAGAACCTTTTGGAAATAATAGATTCATATAAAACCAAACCCAAATTCTAGAGCATGGCTCACTCTTACATGTATTATAGTACCTCTGACATCACGCAGAGGGTGGATGTTATGAATTGAAGCACATTAAAATATTTCTGTTCATCACTCTGCTGCTCAGTTCTATTTATTAAGAATAGTCCAGGATTCTTGAACTAAGGGAATATTCACTAAATACTGCATGTTGAGGACAGCCTGGGTAACATAGTGAGAACTTGTAGCTAAAAAATGTAATAACAATAATTAGACAAATTAGGCAGTAAGCCACATTTGAAGAAAGCACTGGGAAGAGTTTTCAGGACAACTTGGAATTATTACTTTATTTAGTCTCTCTCACTACTGATATATAACCACAAGGTTTTTAATCAAATCATTTTTTGACAGACACAGCGACAAGTGATTATATGGATTACAGAATGAAAAAAGGTTTTGTTCATGGAACAGTCTAATTTTTAAAAAGCCGTATAAATTTTTAGTCACCTAGTTTAGCCAGGAGGTAATGTTGCCAAACCTATAACCCTCAGACATCGGAGATCTCAAGTTTAACCAATAAAAATTCCATCTATGTCTTAAACTTACACCTTCAAAGTACATTTTAAAATAGCAGCATTTCAGAATATCCAAGATTTATTTATTTTTCTTTCTATTCTTGTTTTTTCTTGTCATATATCACCTTGCTATTCAGAGGGTGGTCCACGGACTAGCAACCTTGTCATCATCTGAGGGATGTCAGAAATGGAGAATCTTGGGCTGTACCTAAGACCTGCCTTCTCAAAATCTGCATTCTAACAAGATTTCCACATGATTTGCATGCTAGCCATTAAAGTTGGAAAAGTCTGTACTATGAGACATAAAAATATCTTCTAATTTAACACATCAAGTGTAAGATTTCTTTGAGGGATGATGAAATTGTCCTGGAATTAGATATTAGTGGTGGCTGTACAACTTTATGGATATATTAAAAATAGTGCATTGTACAAGTTAAATGGGGGAATTACGTGGTATGGGAATTATGTCTTGAACTTTTAAAAAGAAAAACATATACATAATTGTAAATGCTCTTAACTTGCACAGCACACAGATGAATGAAACCAGTTCTAACTATTCTCCTTTATCTTTGAGAAAAGTTAGATGCTCCCTTTACTGCGGCTCACCTCTTACTTCGAAAGGGCACCGCAGCAGGGCTTGAGGCTGGGCAGCCCTGACACAGCACCCATCTATCAGGAGGGTCTGCCAGGCGCCTATGGGGTGGAATCCTCCCTCCAACTAAAGCTGTTTATAGAGCTGAGAACCTCGGGAAACCGCTTGCGGGTGGATGTGACAAGTCAGGAAACTTGACTACCCAATCACCCAAAGGGGCAATGGGACAGAAATGCTATCTGCCCGCTGCACATGTGGTCACAGCGGTGTCGGGGAAGCGGAGTCTTTTCTTCTGGAGTCCACTCTGCTTACTCCCTACCTCCCCTCCCGCCACCCACCCAGCTAAAAAAAAAAATACCCTAGATTCATAAACAAAAGCTTGCAGTTACCCACAGCCCAATACAAACGACCCGACGCCCTCACTTCTATAGCCCGTGAGTCTCCCAGCCCCTAACAGGCTCGTCTCCCCAGACGCCCCGGGTGAAAAGGTTCGCGCCGCCGGTGGAGAGTCCTATTGGTTCTATTTCTGTCTTCACTCCAAGGCCCCAGGACCGGGGAGAGGTCCTGGTCTAACTTTGGCTGTCCCACGGTCCAAGGACCTCAGCGCTCAGCCCGAAACGCTAAGCCAAGCGTGGAGACCGCCGGGCGCACCCAGCACCCAGGCAGCTCCAACCCTTGGAGTTCTAGTCATCTCTCCCCCACATAGGCTAAGAGTCACCCGGGCGCACATCTGAATCAGCCCCCTGTTCAGATCCCGCCTGTTACGTAGCGATCCTGTCTCTTGTAGAGCGCAGGATGAAGGGGTCTGGAGAAATCGACCACCCATCTAATCACCTGCAATGGTGGTGTTACTATGCGGTCTCACTCTCGTGGGCAAACATATCCATGCGTACCTACGAGGAGCAAACCTAGACAACCCCGCCTCCCCCACTCCCCGCGCGCCCCTCCACTCACTCAGGTCCCAGCCCTGGCTCTCGCGGACCTCCCAGCACCGTCCTAGGAGGTACACACGCGGGTTCAGGACGCGCGCGGACGGACTCGGCCACTCCTGCGAGCGCACAACCTCCCTCCGCGCAGCCCGCGCCCGATCCGCCCCGCGTCGCCGGCACTCACAAGCAGGGGTAGTAGCCGTAGCAAGGCAGCGGGGCTTGCGGGCAGCCGTCTTCTCCCAGCTCCGAGTCCATGAGCAGATAGTCCTGGCTCTCGTTGCGCCGCGCAGCGGCTCCGGCAGCGCCCCGGGGAGAACTGCCCCTCCGGGGCCCGAACGCCGGGCTCTGGCTCATGGCGGGAACGCCCGACTGGCCTGGGCCCCGCTCCCGGGGGAGCCGAGTGGGCAGTTCCAGCGGGGACCCGGTGCGGAGGGTTCGCGTCAGCGGCCGAACTGGACCTGGGCAGACCGGTGCCCAGGGGACGACGGTGAAGCAGGGGGTGCAGACGCCCGCCGCAAGTGGCTCGCCCACTGGCCCGGGGAAAAGTCACCACTTAAGGGGGTGCAAAGAGGATCTTGACCTGAGCAGGTCAGGCCGAGGAGACCCCGCGAGGATGCGTCTGGGGCGCCCGGGCAGAGAGGGCACAGGCGGGGCCGCTGGTGGTAGCGAAGCGTAAGAGCGGAGAGCAAGGGAGACGGAGCTGAAGAGTTACTATGTCAACAGAGACTCTCCAGCCCTCAGCTCCCGCCTTCATCCCCCGCACTCTCCGTCAAGATCCCCACCTTTAAAGGGATCCGAGCGACGTTCTAGAAAGCAGCCAAAGCCTGTCCTGTAGCCACAACTTTCAGGAGGCGGTATGAGCCTGAACTAGGAGGAGCCAGGCACGCACTCTTTTTTTCCCCTCCACTATTTAGTTGGCTCATTTAGTAAGGATACCAACTGCGGACTTCGTAGGAAGCTTCCTTTAAGAACCACTCTCAAAGAGCCAAGGAAACCTGTTCCTTAAAAGGGACACGAGCCTCTTCTTTCTCCAGACTGCCTTCATTTTCTTTGGTCATTTTCTCTCTTACCCTCAACTCATAAAGTTATTATGACTCTGCTTTAAAAATGAACAACGTTCTATGTTCCAAACGCCAGATGTTCCCAGTTCCTGAGAAAACCAACAAAAATAGGCAAGCATTTTCCAATGATACCGATAAAGAGGCCAACAACCTGCTTACTTCAGAGAAAAAATTTTCCTTCCGTCACTGCGAATGCAAGAATGATTTCTCTGCCAGATGTTTCCCACGTTTCCAAGCTGTTTTATTTTTAAGACTTAGTTTTAAATTCTGATTAATATGCATACGTGTGAGAAGTAAAAACTTGTCAACAAGGATGAATCAGTATTTGTAGACCTTTAAGCAGTAGTAGCCAATTAAGAATCCATTCATTAAGTCAACAAATATTTAATGAATGCCAACTGCGTTTCAAATCATTTCAGAATTCGGAGGCAAAGAAGCAGATGAGGCACCTGTCTGCCCTCATAGAGCTTTCGTGGCAGAAAGGGGGACCAATTAAATAAGCAAATGAAAAAATATCAAGGACAAATGCTACAATGAAAATAAAACAGGTTGATGTGATGGCAGCTGGTGAATGACTACTTCAGATGAGATGGTTAAAAGAGGCCCCTCCAAGGAGGTGCTCGTTAAGTTGAGACATGCATGGCAAGCAGCCAGCCATGAAAAGATCAGAGGCCCATTGCAATTGGATGAAAGAAAGCCAGACTGAAATCTGTCTGCAAAGGTGCCTTTGCTTCCCATGAACAGGTGGACAACAAAATGAATGTTGGAAGTGTGGGAAAATGCAATTGATTTGATAGAAGGGAAAAGAGCTCACACATTTAGAAACTTCTGAGTTTGCCTTTAAATTTAGAACTGAAACTCAGAGAGAGCAGAAACCACTGTGTCCTGAGGATCCAGCTTCGTATTTGACACAGGTGTGTAGGGTGCATGCATGCATGCTTGGGTGGGTGAGTGGGTGGGTGGGTGGATGGATGGATGGATGGACGGATGGATGGATGGATGGATGGAAGGAATATAGAAAAAATAAGAAAATGCTCTTGGCCCTGGAAAGAACATTTTCCCTGGGGAAACAAACAACCTGCATCATTCTGAAGTCTGTTCTTTCTGATTTAACAGCCTTCCTTTTTGATCTTTCAACATGTGGAGCCATGATTTAAAATTCTTATAATTTTCTAGTTACTATACCTAGCAATAAGATATTCTTCCTAAAATTTGTTTGTGGCAACTGCTATCTGTAAGTATTCATTAGCTTTGATGCTTGAATGAATTAATCAATAAACGTTTAGTTAAACAGTGCCAAGGTAATCTCTTTGGCAACACCAAGTATGGGGAAAACATTCATGGGAAAAGTAATATTCAAAGGTTTTCTACCCAATTCAAATTCTGTGAGTTAAAGCCAAATTAATAAACATTTGTAGTGTCAGTTGAAGTGTTAACCTTTCACATAAAAAGAAAAAAAACAAAAACTGAGACAGAATTTATTTTGCTGTTGTTACACTGTTTTTCATTCACAGGTAACAACCTTCACACTGAAAAAATTACTACAGTAAACTTATTCTGACATCAATTTATCATGTGGTAAGACATGTTTTCCTCTGTTTTTTTTTTTTTTTTTGAATTATTGTGAGTACTAGAACAACAAGCCCAGTCATTTATTGAGTACCCAGAAGGAATAAGGTGGTGTACAAATGTTAGAAGATTCTGAAAGAGCTTATGACATGATGAAGTGGAATCATTAGATCAGAAGTCTCAAAGCCTGGATTTTTATTTCGGCCACTTCCCTAACTGAAGTTACATGATTTCAGAGAGGTCATTAAATCTCTCTCTGCCTCAGTTTTTTCATCAGTAAGCTGGTATACAATTACGCCTCAATCTCTAACTTCCCACATTATATAGTTATCTATGCAGTTTTATCACTTTACATTAAAAACATGGTGAAACCAATTTTTAAAAAGACAAAATACGATTAAATAATATAATTTTTGAATCAACTATGGAAGTATTGAGTAGATCTGGAGTCATGAAGAAAGCTGAGTGAACAAAGAAACAATAGTTTTTAAAGTTAAAAAATTGTTGGGTGAGCACAGGACTGATAGTTCTCACAGAGTTGGAAATTGCTATGCAATTATAGGTTATGTATGTTTATGTAGTATGTTCATGCTATTGAAATAAAAAAACACTCAGTCATTAATTCTGAGATGTGAGGATGAAGGTGAGTTATGTGTCTCTGTGGGCAGAGGAAGAGATGTTAATGAGAGAGGACCTTTGCCTCATTATATATATCTGCACTGTTTGATTATTAGTTTGATTTTACAAAAACAGATATTTTACATATATACATGTGTGTAATATATATAATGTGTATATATATTATACATATAATATATATATAACACAGTGTTTTGAAAAGCTGATAGGAGAAAAATGAGTAAAGAAAAATGGTTGTCCTCTAGAACAGTGGTCCCCAACTTTTTTGGCACCAGGGACTAGTTTCGTGGAAGACAATTTTTCCACGGACCTGTGGGGTGGGATGGATGGTTTGGAGACTATTTAAGTACATTAAATTTATTGTGCACTTTATTTCTATTATAATTACATTGTTTTATATATAATGAAATAATTATACAACTTACCATAATGTAGACTTGATAGGATCCCTGAGCTTGTTTTCCTGCAACTAGATGGTCCCATCTGGGGGTGATGGGAGACAGTGACAGATCATCAGGCATTAGATTCTTACAAGGAGCACACAACCTAGATTGCTCACATGCACAGTTCACAATAGGGTTCATGCTCCTAGGAGAATCTCATGCCTCCGCTGATCTCACAGGAGGCAAAGCTCAGGCGGTAACGCAAGTGATGGGAAAAAGCTGTAAATACTAAATACAGGTGAAGCTTCGCTGGCTTGCCCACTGCTCACCTCCTGCTGTGTGGCCCAGATCCTAATAGGCCACAGATGGATAGCAGTCCATAGCCTGGGGGTTGGGAACCGCTGCTCTAGGAAGTCTCAGGCAAGGAGCCCAAAGGGAAAGGAAAAGAAATTGCCACTAGAAGCAAAAGGTTGAGAAAACATTAAATGCTTAATAACTCAAGAAGCTCAAAAGTTACACAAAGCTGCAGTTTGTGAGTTGCTGTTGCTGATGGAAAACCACTAACATAGGAGTCTCTCTGGAAAATGCAGTTTGGGGTTGGTTGGCCAGAAGTACAGATAAAAGTTTAGTCGTGATTTCATCTGGATATTTTAAAGCATGGAAACCCTGAGCCCTGACTCCTATCACATGTAGAATCAACCGGGTGAAAACAGAAACACTTCAGAAGCTTCAGAGGGGCTGCTGATTCTCTATGAATGAAAGTGCCCTGCAAACTCCAGTTTGAGTAAAATCTGAGCAGGTGCTGCTATATCTTTGAACCTCAATTTCTTAATTTTTAAAATAAAGGGGTTATAATACTTTACATTTAGTATCTGTCTTGCAGCTAAAATGTTATTAACCATCAGAAACAAATAGAAGAATCTACAGATTGCTAATTTCATTTTTGCTCTAATTTGAGCTTGACATAGATGTTGTCCAAAATTCTAACATTATCATATGGTTATTTTGTAAGCACTTGTGATTAATATGGTTTCACTTAGAGAACAAGTTATGTTAATATCTCTTTTGATGGAATTATTGGGACATTTTTAGTAAACTGTTTACCAAGAGCATCGTGTGATATGTTTGACAGCACGATTGAAAAATAAGAACTGGGTAACAAAGGAGTGATTCATAAATAGTTAGAAGACGATTGAAAAGATTGTTGATTTATACATCAATGTCACCCAAGTTTAGTAAATGAAGACATACCAAGAATGGACTGAGCTGCTTTTGGTTTTTTGTTTTGGCTTGTTTTTGCTGGTTTTTGTTTTGTTTTGTTTTTGTTTTTGTTTTCTTTCACTGGACATGTTCAAATACAACCTGGACCTCAATTTTCCACGTATACTACAAGGAAAATTAATATACTTATGGAAAATTAAGTGAACACTAAGATCCTGTAAGAAAAAATCTAAAATTCAAAAACTAATCATCATCTCCATGGATCCAAAAAGTTAATAAAATATCTATTCTTCATTTTTTAAAAGGAAATAAGAAAAAGCTTAGAAAACTAAGAGTAACAGACACATTTTTAACATGGCAGAGAAAACTATTTTAGATAAAAACAACATGGAGAAACACCAGAGATGTTTCCATTAATTTAAGAAATCAAAGATGTTTGTCATTATCATTACTATTTTTCATAGCTAAGAACTTCAACAATAAGTAAAATAAAACATAAAAAATAAGATGAAAAAGTTTGAAATGAGGACATAAATCTATTACTTCACAGGCTATATAATAGTCTACTATAAAAAATTCAAGATTTTTAGCTAAAAATAGTTAGATTCAGAAGTAAGAAATGTGTTTGGTACAATGCCAGATAATAAAAGTAAATATTAAAAATTCAGTAGTTTTCCTTTATATCAGCAATAGCCAAAATATAATAAAAGCTATAAAATATAATATAAGCAGAAATATATTTAACAGAGAATTGTAAAACCTATGAAAAGAAAATTATAAATCTTCACTAAGACCTAATTGAAAAATAATCAGAGGTCTGTATCAAATTATATAACACATTTTATTGATAGTTTCATTATACTTGTATTAAATTTACAGATTTAGTTAGAATGTAGTAGTTTCAATACTTATGTCTTCCTATAGAAGGACAGGTTTTTCTCTACTATTTATTTTTTCACATTTCTAAAAATAAATATCTAAAAGAAAGAAAAATCCAAAAAAAGAAAAGCAATGAAAGAAACTTGGTGTAAAAAATATCGAATGATTTAAAGAAACCACAAAAATAATATAAATTGGTACACACAAACTAGAAATATGTAAAGAATTTAATGGAAAGAATAAAGGATACAAAAGATTTTATGGTATGATAAAGAGCACATCTTAAGTCAATGGGAGATGTGAAGGAATGTGGAATAAATCAAACTGGATAAGAGATTTCTATCTTGTACTTTTGCCACAAATGGTATGCGTTAATAAGTCAAATGTAATTAAAGAAGTTGTAAAACCTACTAAACAAAGATAATCAACACGTTTAAGAAGATCGCGCCACTGCACTCCAGCCTGGGCAACAGAGTGAGACTGTCTCAAAAAAAAAGAAAAGAAAAGAAAAGATTAATATCAAGTATCTTTCTTGGCCACAATGGCATGAAACTAGAAATAAATAACAGGAAGGAGACTGGAAAATTCACAAGTATTTGGAAATTTTAAAACATGCTTCTGAACAACCAATGGATCACAGAAGAAATCAAAGGGAAAATAAAAAAATATATTGAGACAAATGATATATAAACACAACTTACTAAATTATGGGAAGCAGCAAAGCAGTTCTAAGAGAAAAGTTTGTAGCAATAAACACCTACATTAAAAAAGAAGAAAACCCTCCAATAAACAACCTAACATCATTTCTCAAAAAAAAAAAAAAAAAAAAACTAGAAAAAAAAGAACAATCTAAGTCCAGAGCTAGTAGAAGGAGGAAATAACAAAGATCAAAGAAAAAATAAATAAAATAGAGACTTAGAAAGCAATATGAAAGAGCAACAAAATTAAAAGGGGATCTTTGAAAAGATAAAATTGATAAACCTTTATCTAGGCTAATAAAAAATGAAAGAAGACTCTAAAATGAGAAACGAAAAGGGAGACATTACAACTTATACAGAAATACAAAGAACCTTAGAAGACTATTACAAATAACTATACACCAACAAATTGGATAGTTTAGAAGAAATAAATTCCTAGAAACTTACCATCAGCCAAGACTAAACTATGAAGAAATAGCATATCTGAACAGACCAATCACAAGTAGGAAGATTGAATCAGTAATCAAAAATATTTTTCAAAGAAAAGCCCAGGACCTGATGTCTTCACTGGTGAATTCTACCAAACATTTAAAGAAGAATTAGTACCAATCTTTCTCAAATTACTTCAAAAAACTGAAGCAGGCGAAATACTTCTAAGCTCATTTTATGAGTCTGACATTACCCTGATTCCAAAGCCAGACAAAGGCATTACAAGAAAAGAAAGTTATAATATCCTCAATGACATTGATGCAAAAATCCTCAGCAACATGCTAGCAAACTGAATTCAACAATACATTAAAAGGATGGTACACCATGATCAAGTGGCATTTTTCCCTGGAATGTGGGATGGTTCAACATGTGCAAATCCATAAACATGATATACCACATTAACAGAATAAGGCACAAAACCCACCTGATCTCAATAGTTAAAGAAAAAGCAGTTTACAAATCTCAACATCCTTTCATGATAAAAACCCTTAACAAACTAGATATAGAAGCAATGTACATCACACAATACAGGCTATATATGACAGGCCCACAACTAATATCATATTGAGTGGTAAAAAGTTGAAATCTTTTCCTCTAAATCAGGAGCAAGACAAGGATGTCCACTCTTCCTGCTTCTATTCAATATAGTATAATGGAAATTCTAGCCGGAGCAATTAGGCAAGAGAAAGAAATAAAAAGCATACAAATTAGAAAGGAAAAAGTTAAATTGTTCCTGTTTGTAGATGACATAATCTTATAGTTAGAAAATATTAATGACTCCACCAAAAAAAACCACTTAAACCTAATAAACAATACAGTAAAGTTGCAGGATACAAAATCAACATACAATAGTCAATTGCATTTATATTAAAAAAACAAACTATCCAAAAAATGAAATCAAGAAAACAATCCCATTTACAATAGTTAAAAAAAAAACTTAGGAATAAATTTAACAAAGAAGGCAAAAGACTTTGACACTGAAAACTATAAAACACTGAAGAATGAAAGTAAAGAAGACATGGATAAATGGAAAGATACTTCATGTTCAGGGATTAGAAGAATTAATATTGTTAAAATGTTTATACTCCCCCAAAGTTATCTACAGATTCTCTCCATCAAAATTCCAGTGACATTTTCCCAGAAATAAAAAGAATTCTAAAGCATTCATGGAACCACAAAAATCCCTGTGATGGTTAACTTTGGACTTGACTTGATTAAGGCATACTCAGATAGCAGGTAAGGCGTTATTCTTAATGTTTCAGAAGGAACTGATCCCTCTTTTGCTAAAAGGGAAGTCCAGGTAGTTGTGGTTTTGATTAGATGATCGGGCTATCCTAGGTGTGTCTGTGTGGATGTTTCCAGAAGAGATTAGCATGTGAGTTGGTGGTCTGAGTGGGGAAGATCCACCCTCGATGTGAGTGGGCATCATCCAATCAGTTTTGGGCCCTAATGGAGCAAAGGCAGAGTAAGGGAGAATTCTCACTTTCCCTCCCTGAGACAGGACACCTTCTTCTCCTGCCCTTGGATGTCAGAACTCCAGGTGGTCTGGTCTTTGAACTCCAGGACTCATACCAGTAGCCCTCAGGCTCTCCAGCAATCAGGATTGAAAATCACACCACAGCTTTGTTGGTTCTGCAGTTTGGACTTGGACTGAGACACATTACTCTCTTTCCCGGTTCTCCCACTTGATAAAGATGGTCTGCAAGATTTCTCAACTTCCAAAATAAAGTGAGCCAATTCTAATAAATCCTTTTTCATATATCTCTCTATAAATTATATTGGCTCTGTCTCTTTGGAGACAGAAACAACCCCAAATAGTCAAAGCAATCCTGAAGAAAAAGAACAAAACTAGAGGTATCACACTACCTGATCTCAAAATCTGCTATAAAACTATAGTAATCAACACAGCATGGTACTGACATAAAAACAGACACCCAGACCAATGGAACAGAATAGACAGCACAGAAATAATAATAATAATATATATAATATAATAAGAGTAATAATCTGTGAAGAATAAATATATATACACAAATATGTATAAATACATAAAATTCATATTCATGAATGCATGGTTAGTGAATGAAAACTTTTTTCTTTTTCTGCCATTCATTCATTATCCGTGGATTCATGGACAGATATTTGATTGAAGTGGTTATTATCCATTATCATCATAATTTATTTTGCTGCTCAAATGATTCTAGATTTGGCACTTTTGATCAGCCTCTGAAAATCCCTCCATATCAGTTTATAGAGATCCTCTTCAATCTTTTTTTAAATTGATGTATTGTTGTATAAATCCATTGTGTAAATCAAGGATTTACAAATTAAGGCCCACAGGCAAAATCTGACCCACCATTTGTTTTTGTAAATGATCTTTGATTGATGTGCCATGCACAATTGTTTGTATGTTTTTTTATGTCTGCTTTTGGATTACGACCACAGAGTTCAGTAATTGAAATAGAGACTGTGTGGGCCAAAAATTCCTCCCTCGTTTTTAAGAAAATTTTGCTGTCCCTTAGTGAAAATTAATCATAATTTGTTCAAACAATAACCAATGTGTGGATATTGAAACTGTACTCAATATTTTTAACTATTAATAATGCCATAATGAATAGTCTTGTGCATGTGTGTTTTCATATTATTGGAGATTGATATGGTTTTGCTGTGTCCCCACCCACATCTTATCTTGAATTGTAGCTCCCATAATTCCCACATGTCACGGGAGGGACCTGGTTGGAGGTAATTGAATCATGGGGGAGGGTCTTTCCTGTGCTGTTCTCATGATAGTGAGTAAGGCTCACAAGACCTGATGGTTTTATAAAGGGGGAGTTCCCCTGCACACGCTCGCTCTTGCCTGCCTCCATGCAAGATGTGGCTTTGCTCCTCTTTTGCCTTCTCCTATGATTGTGATTCCCACACATGTGGAACTGTGAGTCCATTAAACTTCTTTCTTCATAAATTACCCAGTATGTCTTTATTAGCAGTGTGAGATCAGACTAATACAGAGGTACATCTCTAGTATGAATTCCTAGAAGTGGAATTGATGGCTCAAAAGCAAGCACAGAGTTACTTGAATCTGAAAACCTGTGCCTAACTAAACTTGGATAAAAATTTTGGTGATTATAAGTTCAAATATCTTATTCTGGCCCAATCTCTTGTCTCTTTCTCAGACTCCTAATAAACACATGTGTGTTATTTGTTTAGTTTATTTCAGTGTTATTTTTCTGGTTCTTCTTTGTATTATATATTTTCTATTGGTCCATCTTTAAATTCTCTGTTCTTTTCCTCTGCCATCTCAATTCTTCTAAGATGATGAAATAAATTTTTAAATTTCAGATATTACATCCAAAATTTGGGATACTTTTTTATACATAAAGGATAAGATAATAAAGAATAAGGATAAATAAAAGCATATCTATTCTTTATTTCTATATATATGCAAGCTATATCTTCCTTTACTTTAGATATTTTCTATTAATATTTTCTTTTATTTCATTGCACATAGTTATAACAACTCCTTTAAAGCCCTTATCTACTACTTCCAACAACTGCATCACCTTTGTTCATTATCTTTTCCTTTAACAATAGGTCGCACTGGGGCAGTGTTGTCTGGTGGGTACTGGAGACCTTCCGTGTCACTGCTGCTCTCACCATGGCTTGGATCCAGACTGCACCACAGCCTCTCAGGAGACGTGGGCCCTCGGAACCTCTTTAGTGCCAGATTCCAGGCTGCAGGCAGCCCCTTGGCAGTAGGATAACAGAACCTCTGGATGGATACTTCCTGAGAAGTTTTGCTAATTTGCAGCAGCTGGACCGTGTTTCTCATTAACATCTGTCTGTCAGTTTAGTCATCACATCATTTCACTGTGGTGGCAGGGACTCAGCTCAGAATTCTAGATAGAAAAAGCACCTGGATCCCAGTTTTTCAATGGCTTCAAGACAACCAGAAGTGCCTGCTCTTGAGGCTAGTGGGCCTCTAGGCAAGATGTTCCTGCCCACCAGGATATACCGTTGGGCATCCAGCTACGATGATGCCCTCAAGGACCCTGCGCCCATGACTCTTCCTCCACTGGACATGAGCAGTGTCCCCTAGAAGCCAGTGATTCCAGAGCACAATATCAGTGCATCACCAAGGTGGAGGAAGATGAGGCCAGCCTACCCTCCCCAGCCATGACCCTGTCATCGGCCATTGACAGTGTGGACAAGGTCCCAGTGGTGAAGGCTAAGCTACACATGTCATCATGAATTATCGGATCACAAAACAGACCCAGGAAAGTATTCAGCATTTTGGGTGACAGGCAGGGCTGAGAGATGCTGGCTACACACCCCACAGGGGCCTCACCACCGAGGAGACCAAGTACCTTCCAGTGGCAGGAGCACTCCACAAACTAAAGCTACAGAGTAGAGAGATAACAAAAGAATAGAGGCAGCCTGCATCAGCCCGGTCACCCCAAGCTCCACTCCTCATTCTTCCCCTAAGCAGAAGCCCAGAGGCTGGCTCACTTCTGGTTCTTCCACAGCTTTACCTGGCCCAAATCCTAGCACCATGGATTCTGAAAGTGGGGATAAAGACAGAAACTTGTCAGGTAAGTGGAGCCTCTTTGGACCAAGATGCCTTCAGAAGTTTGATTCTGGAAGTTTTGCCACCCAGGCCTACCAAGGAGCCTAGAAGCCTTCTCCAATGGAATTGATCCATGCCCAGGCCAGCTGAATGGCTGAAGATCCAGTAACCTTGAAGCTGCCCAAGATGAACATCCTAGTGATGGAAGGGAAGAAACAGCCACCATGGACCCATAAGCTCAAACCACCTGACTTGAATGTGCTCACACCCACTGGCTTCTAGAGCCCTTTCTATTCTAGGGACTCTACCTTGGC
The DNA here is from genome assembly GCF_000001405.40 of Homo sapiens. Lineage (NCBI taxonomy): Eukaryota > Metazoa > Chordata > Mammalia > Primates > Hominidae > Homo > Homo sapiens. The sequence continues at coordinate 101,594,967 of NC_000011.10, forward strand.
TGTGACATAGGAAGGTTACATTTTTCAAAACCTGTTAAATTGAGACTAGCACTGGAGACATAATTGGTGTTTGAGAAACATTAGTACAAAGCTTGCCCTTGTTGTGTGCAAAAAGCCATTTTGTACTGCTTTAAAGTTGGACTAAATAATCTCAGCAGTGATGTATGGGGGATCTCATTACCTATTTTTTCATCATTTACCCTAGATAAGAACTTCGATCATTGCTTACTAGGTAAAGAATGTTTGTGCTGTTCTGAAACCCAGACTTCTTGATTCCTTTACCACTATCCATGTGAGCATTGACAAATCATGGCATAGAGGGGTTCACTGACTCGTTGAGAGGACTCTGACCCTCTTGACTGCTGGTGCTGTGCCCCAGCCTTGTCAGTTAGGGGCCCCAAGATATGTTTAGAACCTGGGTACAGATAAAAGCCAGACTTGGCATGGACCCCTCTTTCTAGGCTGAACCTTGAGTCCCCCTGCTTTTTGGTAGACCTCATGGATCACTGTCCTGCAGCCAGTTCTTCATGTGGGGCCTCTTAGGCCAGTGCTGAGGGAGGCATGCTTCTCTTTCTATTCCGCAGAACAAACCCTAGTCTGGCAAAGCCTTTCTTGAGCTTTAAAGTGAGATTAATTTAATTCCAATTTGGTTGAAGACTTCCTAAGAGAGAAAAATTCAGTCTACTGAATTGGCATAGGTAAATGGATGTTAAACTTTTTTAAAGTAACGTAAAGTAAGATGGTAGGTACAGTTAGATTACAGTCTTGAGGCTCATGTGAAACCAGTGTTACCTTATTTTGATATCCTTGTTCAAGTCAGGGCCTGAAATATCTGCACCTGGAGGTGAAAGAATTCAAAATTTTTTGTACGAAAGCATTTTTCACCAAAATAAGCCTCATTCCTTTATGCAACACATAACTCTTTCTTTCTCTCTGTCTCTGTCTCTGAGGAAAAGAAATAGGGAAACTGCCTTTTTGTTTCTCCTCGCTGTGTACAAGTTCAGTCATTGTCTTGAACACTGTCTCAAACACCCACTTTTGTTTTGGATAGTATCTCATCCGCATAAGAAGTTGACCTTTCCATAGAGAGGCCTGGAATCTAGAATTATCAGAACAATTAATTTATTTGCATCTTCTATTATGATCTCTTATTAAACAATAAAAATTCTTACTACTTTCTCAAAAAAAAAAATAGGTCACATTTCCCTAGTTATTTTTATTTATTTATTTTTTTTTCTGAGATGGAGTTTCGCTCTTGTTGCCCAGGCTGGAGTGCAATGGCACCATCTCGGCTCACCACAACCTCCGCCTCCTGGGTTCAAGCGATTCTCCTGCCTCAGCCTCCCTAGTAGCTGGGATTACAGGCATGTGCCACCATGCCCAGCTAATTTTGTATTTTTAGTAGAGATAGGGTTTCTCCACCTAGTTCTTTGTCAATTAATAAAAATGAGACCCTGTCATTTGCAGCAACATAAAACTGGAGGTCATTGTGTTAAGTGAAATAAGCCAGGCACAGAAAGACAAACTTCCCATGTTCTCACTCATTTGTGGAAGCCAAAAATTAAAACAATTGAATTCATGGAGCTAGAGAGTAGAATAGTGGTTCTAGAGGCTGGGAAGGGTAGTGGGCATGGAGGGGGGATGGTTAATGGCTACAAAAATATAGTTAGATAGAATGAATAAGATCTAGTATTTGATAGCACAACAGGGTGACTACAGTCAACAATAAATAAAATGTAATTTACTGTACATTTTAAAATAATTAAAACAGTATAATTGGATTGTTTGTAACACAAAGAAAGGATAAATGCTTGAGGCAATGGTTATTCCATTTACCCTAATGTGATTACTGTGCATTGTATGTCTGAATAAAAATATTTAATGTATACCATAAATATATACACCTACTATGTACCCACAAAAATTTAAAAAACATATATGAGATATATATATATATGATTGTAACCTGAGCAAAGTGAACATAAGGTTTTGAAGACTCTGGAAAAGTCTTATGTTTTTATTTGGAAGGCAATTCATTTGATCAAACTTAAGTTGCAAACTATTTCTTTGGGGTGGCCGCTCAAGACAGTTCTTTTATTTTTGGTTGTGCTACTTTGAATCTACACCCATGTATGCTTAGTTCCATCCAGACTTGCCCAGAGTTGTTTACATAATTTGAAAATCACCCCCATTCTGGCTCTCTTCTTTTCGGAATCTTCCCTGACTTCCCAGCAGCTGAGACTGCCCTGAATTTTGTCCTCTTGTCTACATGCCATAAAGGTTATGAGTTTTCTTTTTTTTTTTTTGAGACAGAGTCTCGCTCTGTCGCCCAGACTGGAGTGCAGTGGTGCAATCTCGGCTCACTGCAAGCTCCGCCTCCTGGGTTCACACCATTCTGCTGCCTCCCAAGTAGCTGGGACTACAGGCGCCTGCCACCACGCCCGGCTAATTTTTTTTGTATTTTTAGTTGAGACAGGTTTCACCGTGTTAGCCAGGATGGTCTCGATCTCCTGACCTCGTGATCCACCCGCCTCGGCCTCCCAAAGTGCTGGGATTACAGGTGTGAGCCACCGCACCCGGCCAGGTTATGAGTTTTCTACTGATGATTTGGTGGCAGTTTTGGCCTGTCCTTCCATAAAAGTCAAAAAAAGAGAAATGTACTTCAAATGAGACTCTTCTTTCAAGTTTTCACTCCCCTCAAGAATTATCCTGCTTTCATTCATTCTCAAGTGCCTTTGTGTATTTTTTTTTTGCTTTTTTCCCAGAATTAATAGCTGTTACATATGGCAGGTGTGAGTCTTGAAGAAACTTAATTTACCATATAGAAGCTGACACATAGTTTAACCACTGAAAACTGAAGGCCATGAGATAATCTTGAAAGAAGCTAGTAGAAACATAAAATATACAAAGGTGAACAACAATTCAATTAGCCAATGATTTCTCTCTAAAGTACCAGAACGTAGTGATGTAACTTCTTCAAATCTCATCTAACTAATCTGAATTTTGAGTCATAGTTAAATTTCCTTTCCCTACAGCCAAGGTGTAAGAGATGATACAATTTCCAGAGCTTATATGGCTTCATTTTTATATCTATATACCTGATTCATTTTGAAATTTATTCTTATGTATGGTGTGAGTTATGGATTCAATTTTGTCTTCTTCCAAATGACTATCCACTTACCCCAATAGCATTTATTAAAAACTTCACCTTTGTCCTGGTGTTCTTAGGTACCATCTTTTTCACATATTAAATTTCCACATGTACTTGGGTCTACTACTAGACTTGGTTTTCTGTTTCATTTATATGTTTTTTCACTTGTGAGTTCTACATTGTTATAATTGTAGAGGATTTATAATATATTTTAATATACTGTAAGACTAGTCTGTTAGTGTTTCTTTTCTGTATATTCCTAGCTATTCTTGTATACTTATTTTTTCAGATGAATTTTAGTATCAATATTCCTGACACTAGAAAAAGTGCCTGGTGGTATTTTTATTGGGATCACATCTTTGTGGGTTCAGTCATTGTATCCAAATACAAGGGATGTCCTTTTTATTTGCTGAAATCTATGTCTTCATCTTTCAGAACTGTTTTAGTTTTATTCACACAGTTTTTGTATATTTCTTGTTAAGCACATTTTTTAACTTTTAAAATTTTTATCACTCTACTTAAATATAGTTTTATTTTTCATTATGTTACATACATAGTTATTTTTATTTACATTAAGGTCACTGATTTCTCTATGTTAATTTCATATCCTGTTACCCTACCAAGTTCTTTGTTTCAGTTACTTCTGTCATTGATTATTCAGTTTTCTAAGAGTACCATCATACCATTTGCAACTAGAAACATTTTTTCTACACTTTTCAAATTCTTACGAGTCTAGTTGTTTTCTTTTGTCTAATTGCATTGGTTAATACCACCAGTGTAATGCAAAATAGTAGTGTAGTATAGATAATATATTTTGTATTAGTAAAATTGATAAACCTATTGCAAGCTTACCAAGAAGAGAAAAAAAACAAAAAAGCAATTTTAGAATTGCAAAATAGAATGTCACTGTACATCTTAGAGGTAGGTGTACAGTTCCATTAGGAAATAATGGAAAGATATTATAAACAAAGTTATACGCAAATGAAAGCTGAAAAGTTCCTAGAAAAATACATCTTATCAAAACTAACACAAGGAGAAACAAGAAATCTTTCTAGTTCCTGATTAAAAGAGTGAATCAGTGTTTAAAACTGTCTCATAAAGAAAACAATGTGAAATAGCTTCACTCACTAGTTCTACTAAACATTTTAAGAGGCGACGAATGCAATCTTACACCAACTTAGCCACAGACTAATAAAAGGGGTAATACTTGCCAATGATTTTTATGAGAACAGCATAGCCTTAATATCAAAGCAGACTAGAAAATGTAAGAAAAGAAAATTACAAGCCAGTTTCACTCATTACCATGCACTACATAAATACCTAAAAATTATGCACTTCATGAACAAATTGATTTTATCTTAGGAACATAAGGGGAATTTAATATTAAAAAAATCAAACAAGTTATTTGTTACATTGATTTCATAAAGGAAAAAACTCAAAAGATCATTGGTCTCATAATTCCTACTTTTGATGTTTATTCCTTAGAATAAGTGGGAATGTGGATAAAGATGTTCTGAGTCCCAGTTTTTCACCCATTTCTCTATGTTCTTTGCCATGGGACTTTGCAATTTTTCCTTTTAAAGATGGGAGTCGATTTTCTCACCCTTGACTCTGAGTTTGGCCGTATAACTTGCTTGGCTGCGGTATTAGCAGATGTGGACCCTGCAGAAACTTGCAAACATGGTGGTTCTGCATTTCCACTTGTTTCTTGCTGTTTCTCAAACAGGCAGAGAGTGCTTCTGCCTTAGGGCCTTAGTTGTGTGTGCTCCCTCTATCTGGAATGATCCTCCCTGTGGTTATCAGCACACTTCACTTCTTGCCTTCATTCTTGTCTCTGCTTATTGCTACCTCATCAGAGGAGCCTTCTCAGAATATATAAGCTAAATAATGTATCCTAGAAAAAGAAGTACAGGGCATCACTACCCTGTTTTCCAGTTTTCTTTTTTGCACTCATTACATATAGAATGTTCATGTATTAATTGGCCATCTTCCATGATTGGATTATGAGATCCACCAGTGCAGGAACCTTTTCTATTTTACCATTGAATTCTTAGTGCCTAGAAGAGTGCATAGCAAATCAGCATTCGAGAATTATTTGCCATATCAAGACTATGCCTTGGGTCTTACTGACTAAATCGATCTTTATTAATTTAGCAAAATGTAAGGCACCAGAACCTCACGCATGCTGGGGGTGGAGGTGATAAACTGAGGTGGGAGTTAGAAATTGCTGAAAGATGGAATAGTTACTCAATACTTTGAGAGTTCTTAACGTGATAGAAATATTAGAAATATATTGCCCTTGACATTGTTCTTTCCAGCAATTCCATACACTGAGAAAATCACAAACTGAACCTTCATAAAAAGCCACATGAAGGAACCAAGATGATAGATATACTTTGGAGAACATGAAGGAACTTTAAAGGAAGAACTTGAAAGATATAATGAGTAAGAAACATAAACATGGATAAAGCATTAATGAATGATGATCACAGTGTGCAAGGAAGAAAATGAAGGAAGTATCTTGACTTGAATAAAACATATATATAATATATATATACATATGAAAAAAAAAACACAAGGACTCGGGTACTCAATATAAAGTGACCTATGAAACCCAGAAGTTAAAGAGATGAAAATGTATAAAACTAATTTTCTCCTTTTATAACCAAAATATTTAGGTGTTGAGAACGTGGTTGTTTGCATACTTGAATGTGTTATCAATAATCAGGCAGATAATAAAGGATTTGTGGCTATAATATAGAAAAATAATTTGTAACAAAATGCAATTGAAGAGAGAAATAACAGATGCTCAACAAAAGCTGAATTCTGAGAATTACTTTCAAGGAAGTGACCCAATATGTACAGCAGTCTTGTCGGTCTTGTTCATACCACATAGATGCTTTCATAGCATTAATAGAATTAACTAGATGTTTCAGAAGAAAAAAAAAACCCAACTATGTACAACAGAAGAAATAGCCTGCCTAACGGAGCCTAAATTAGTCTAATCTATTTTTAGTCTGTGATTCTGCCCTAGTAGGCCCTCGAGAATTGGAGGGAAATATGGATAGAAAAAATTTGTTTTTTCCCAGCTTAATGACACTGAGATAGTCCTGAAATACATTTAAAAAGGCTTTATGTTCCAAAGATAACTCAGCTTCTGTCAGTCATAGAGAAAATAGGTGGGAAGTTTATTTTTATAACACATTTCCTCCAGTGGCCCTCTCCAGGGTAACTGCTTTGCCATACCACAGGCAATGGAAATAGAGAGGGGTATCAACTCTGTGAGTAAATTAAACATATGTAAGTTACACGATGAATGTAGTAGAAACAACTCTTTTTATTAATTTTGTTTTTCTGAATATTTCTGATCTCCCTCTCAAATCTAAGTCTAGATTATTCTCGGTCCAACATTTCTTCTTTAATATCTTTAAAAAAATGTACTGAGTTCTACTTGGTGCTTGGCACTGTTGGAGGCACCAAGAATACAATGGTGAAAATTTATATGGCACCAACTCTAAAACCCTATCTGCTTTTTGTCTTGAGGGCAGAATGGATGCGCTGTGATAGCACCTACGATAAGGATAAACACAATGGTATGGAGGTGCTTGGGTTAGAGACTTACTTTGTTTTGAGCATCGGAAGAGATATCACAGCATCTGACATCAACAGACTGATATCCCTAGGAGTTAGGGGAGAAGGTGGTCATGTTCCAGGAAGAGGGAATAACCTGAATGTGAAAGGCAGCATGGAAGATTCAGGGATGCTGCAAACTTCATGATGGGAACACAAAATTGAAACAGGAAGTGGAGTGAGAAGAGGCTACCTCACTCCTAAGGGAAATCTAAGTTCTCTTTTCAAAGTATCTCCCTTCTCTTCTTAAAAATTATTGTCTCTTCAGTGAAAGAGAACTGACCTAACCAATTCCACCTTGCTTCTAGCTTCCAAGATGTCCTTGTTTGTTCCTGGGCATAGGCTGAACTAACTTTGGGAGGAACTTTATAGTTTGAATCAAATATGATAACAGCCCTTTCTCAAAACAAACCCCCTTCTCGCCTAGGGACTAGATTGCCTTTGCAGAACCAACAAATTAGTCAAAAGATGAGAAATTATGGTTTAGGAGTCATGCAGCTGGAGGGTACAAGATTCTGACACTCCCCAAATTGCTCCTGGGGATAAAATCACTATTGTAAAACCTAAGCCCAGTGCTTGAGATATTTTGCAGACCCTGCACTCGATGGATCAGCTGGCACCACTTAGAGTGATAAACTGGCTCATTTGATCTTGGGGCCCTCACCCAGGAACTGACTCTGTAAAAAGACAGCTTCAACTCCCTGAGTTCAGCTCTGACCTGACCAATCAGCACTCCTAGCCCACTGGCTTACCCCCCCCACCAAGCTGTCCTTGAAAACTCTCATCCCCAAATGCTCAGGTAGACTGATTTGAGCAAAAATCTCTGGTCGCACACACACACACACACACACACACACACACACACACACACATAAATTATTGTCCCTTTTTTTAATATTGTTGAGACTCAAAATCTCCCTTTCTAACTTTCTTCCTCACACCCTCCTATGTGAAGTTTGATTCCATTCACTCTGTTTACCCTAAGATCTTAGCAGTCTTTTAAAAACTAGGAAAATTTGTTTTCCACAAAATTGACACTCCATCCCACCCTCTCATCTCCTGCCATTTAGCTTAACCTGAGGATAACAGATCCTCACACTGCCTTCCCTTCTCAAATACAGAAGATAACAGAGCATGCCTGCAAATGTATTCTCAAGATTTCCCTGGCTCAGCAGCAAAGAAGGAAGCATTTCAATGTGTGTGTGTGTGTATGTATAGCAAGGAGAACTCGAAGGACGTCAGATGTGAGATTAAGCCAAACTGGAGTCCTGAATTATTCTGCTGATATTCCTACATAATGTTCTTCTAATCTAGGGTGCATTTCCTAAAGATTGCTCTGTCCCCCACACTATTTAACAAAGTCTCTGGATGGGGAATGAATGATGCATTTCTCACAGCCGAGGCAGCTACTGTGTGGGTGGGAATTCACAGTCTGGAAGTCTGAAGGAAGATTTACACTCTCAGAGAAACATGGCGCAAAGAACATGTTAGCATGGCTAAATTCCAGAAGCTAACCATAAGGAAATTCTTGTGTAGGGCCTTAACTTTTGGTGTGGTTTTCTCAAGGATGATAGAGATTATTTCATGAAGCATACAGGGTGAAAACTATGGTGGCCAAGGGGCCACCAAGCACACACCATATCATTGCTTTGTTAAGCTGGTCATTTCACCCCTATGTGAGGATAATGTGGGGAGCAAAAGGAATTGTGCCCTGATGCACATTTATGTCTCCACTGACTCATACCCAAGGGAATCGGCAATGCAGGAGTGCCCCTGAAGAGCCTTCCTCATCATGAGCTTCTCAGCGAGTTGATTCTATTTCCTAAAATATTTTCCCTTTTATATTACAGACCAAACATTTATGTTACAAAATATAAACAGGTGAAACACTGAAAATAAAAATCATACCACTTCTATCATTCCAAAGCAACCATTGTTAACATTTGTTGTAGGTTCTTCTGAAAATTTTATCTTTCTATTTATACTTTTCTCTTTTACAAAAACAGCACATTCTATAAATACGACTTTGTATCCTACTTCTTTTATCTAACCACAGGTAGTAAATATTTACCTGTATACTTTAAATATTCTTTTACAATAACATTTTGATGTCTGTATAGTGTTCCATTGTATGGTTTCATTAATTTTGTATTGTTTGTTTATTCATAAGCTCAAACTTTTAGAAATGTTTAAACAATGGCTATCTCAGAGTGCTTAAATATTTGAATTTTGGTTATAGTATTCTCTCTTCATTCAGTAAACATTTAAAAATTTTTATCTAGGTGCCAGGTATTATTTAGGATTAATGATAACAAAGACCAATACATTTAGTAAGTCTTCTGATTCGAAGTTATGTGATTGTGAAGAAATTTTAACCTTCTTAACTCTAACTCTAATCCTACCTGTGGAAGAAAGGTTCAGAGATGAACCTTGATGAAGAATCACTTGAGTTGAAATTTGAAGGGTGATTTGGTGTTAGCCAGTTGAAGAGTGAGGGGAAGTGATGTTTCAGACAGAAAAAGCCATATGTCCAAAACCCCCAAACTGGTTAATTATCCTTAAAGTATGAAAGAGAGGACAGGGACAAGAAAGATGAGACTGTGAAAATACAAAGAGTCAAACCATGCCTAGAGGTTGAGTCATAATCCCAACGTATATGATGAATCTTTGAAAAGTTTTAAAGTGGCAAGTGACAGAGTGAGGTTCTAGAAATAGTGCTCTATTTCTATGGTAAGCGTGTGGGATGGGGATGGACTAGAAGGAAACAAAACTTGAAAACATACTGAGGAGGAATAGGAATACTCACTTTAATCTCCTGATTCAAGCCCATTCAAATTCATGTTGATGTTTCACATATTACCAGATACCACCTTCCAAGCTGGCACCAGTTCATTTATGAGCACTCATTGGACATGACTGCTTAGTTTTAAAACTAAGTGCACTAAACCCTTGCCTGTATTTCCCTGTTAACTCACAGAGCTATCATGGTGGTCTTAGTAACTACAGTAATCTAAAGGATTCCTGATCTACTGGCAATCCCATCAGAAAGAAAATTAAATGAAATCTAATAAGGAATAATAAATTTCCTTTCTCCCAATTTCTCCTCCCATGTTACCAGAAAACTCTCGGCAGAGGGTCAGATCTGCCTGTGGTTTCAAGCAGAACTTAAGTAATCCCCAAATATCATGAAATATTTAGGTCTCTGAAGGTCTACCTGTTTCCTCACTATTCCAACAAGGCAGAAAAACTCAAAAGTTATTAACTATATGCATTTTTCATCAGAAGAAGGAATTTAAGTGAAGACTTAGAGTATAATCATCCAAGGAGTTTTTAATACAGGATGTGGCATGAACCTCTTTATTCTCCACTTTCTTTGACCCACCTTGCTAAGTGCAGCTCCACTGAGTGCTATAGAGAGAAGATATATTATTTGTCATAAATTAAGCTTATTTGATAATATGCAGATTTAAGCCATAACCTTTTTGCTTTTCCCACAAATGTTTTTTTATATTCTAACTGCTACTGATAAAACTTTGTGTACATTATTTTGAAAAGCTGAAACTGGATCCCAGAGGACCTTGCTGGGTTAGAGGAGTTCATGAGACTTACCAAAATCTCCCTTTGTACCTTTCTCACATTTGCTCACTTGAAAAACACTTTTGCTTTTCCATCTTGATCTTACATTTAATGGAATCCCATCTCCCTAATATGTAGTCAATAATAATTGCTTAATATATTATAGAAATGTAATGCTAAATTTTTAAGTTGCATATTGTATTAGATTTTGTTGAGAACTCTTTCAAAGCTATAAATTAATCTTGGAATTATTTGGCAATATAAATTCCAACTCCTTACTGTAGCTCAAAAACTTTACATGTTACCTCTTACGGCTTCTTTGTTGTTGTTGTTGTTGTAGCTTTGAGACAAGGTCTTGTTATATTGCTCAGGCTGGCATGTCATGGCTATTCACAAGTGCTAGCATAGCGCACTGTGGCCTCCAACTATCTTTCCGTGCCTCAGCCTCCTGAGTAGCTGGGACTACAGGTGTATGCTACCATGACTGGCTCTCTTCCTGCTTTTTTATACTTCTTCAACATCATGATGTATACCTTCCTTCAATTTGTGGCCCTTCCCACTGAATGTATCTATACAGGTCCCTCGTAGCCCTTAGTCTCCAATGTAATGCATTATCTGCATCAAGTCTGTTTCACCCTGGATTTAGTACAGGAATAACAAAAATGCATATAACTCAAGGAATTGGCTCACCTACCATACGGTCAATCTGGGCCTGGTACTATCCAAACTGGGCAACAAACCTACTTTTTCTTAGTATCTACTATTGCCACAGAGCAAATTTGATAAGGTCAGGGGAACTTCATATTGGATTGCAGCAACGTGGTGCAGGTTTTCTTTGACTTGTCCAGTATCCAGAGAGGAAGATTACAATTACTTGATTCTTTATGCATAAAAGAACTACTTGGCTCTATTTTCCTCTGAAGAAAACAGTATAACTGGAAAGATTTGGGGGCTTCATGGGGTACCCAGCACCAGTGGTTCAGTGGTGAGGCCCCTGGGATACAGCAGAGAATATCTGGGTTCTTGTCCTGATTTTGTCACTATCTGATTCACTTGCCTGGCCCATTGTAGACCATAAAAATACTTTAAAATAAATGAATGGGTTATGTGACTTTGACTCTCTTCTAACATTTTCAGACTTCTTTATCTCCATTTCCAAAATGAAAATGTTAGATTATCTGATGTCTAAGATCCCTGAAACTCTAAAATTGCATGATCTAAGCTAAGAATGCCTTCTAGAGCTCTATCCTTACATTAAACCCTTTTGAGCAAAGTGAAATTGATAATTAACCAACTGTCAAATAAAAATTTTTAATGTATTTTTTATTACATGTGTACCACAAGCAGAGAACTCAGCTATCTAACCTGCCTTGATAACAAGTTCCCATTTTGCTGATACAGGACTCTCTCAAAAACTTTCTATCAAATTTTCATTCTGTAGCCTCCTATCCCAGGTTTTGTTTACTCTTTCTCTTAATGACTAAATTTTAGCATGAAAATATAGGTTCTCATTCCAAAGTGGAAAAGATGTAAGGATAGCCTTCACTGGCTCATGGGCAGGGATGGGTGTCTGGTGAGGAGAGTCCCCCATCAATGACCAAAAGTGATGGAGAAGAAGCTGCAAATCTGCTTTCAAGTCACCAGGGGCAACTATCCAGGGCAACTCAAACATCGCAAATGTTTTCTAACCCCATCCAGCCTTTCTGCATCACCCACAACTTCCTTGGGAGTTTAAAAATTACTTGACTCCAGCGCAATGTTCTCAACTGTTTATTGTTCTGCGTTCTTGTTGTTGTTGTTGTTCCCTGCCTTCATTCTTCCTGGGTTTGACCTAGAACCCCATCTTTCATCCAAAGAACCTAGAGTTCCAGGAGAGTAAAGGGCCAGGCATGAGCTACCTCAGCTCAGATCTGATCTGAGTGATTGTCACTACTGGCCTTTGGTTTGTTTTTTACACCTCGCTGCTTTCCTGCTGGTGAGGAAACAAGTCAGCACTATCTCACTCTCTTGCCATCCAGTCTTCACCATCAGGCACTTTAATACTGCATAGGACACACGTACATTTAAGAAGTATACAATTATGTAAATATGTTGAATATTGGATAAGTAGATATTAGACAAATCAGTACTTGATTGGTTATACTAATGTTTCTTCACTCTAAAAAAAAGAATTTTAAATAGAAATTTGGTGCTATGTATCAAAATTCATTTTCTTCAATTTTGTGTCAAAGTTCACATATTTACAAATTTTTCAGGAAGAAAGTTAAATGAATTTCCATACAGTGGTGGGGTCATGAATCAGTACCTTGTTTTATAATTATTTACAGGGGATATATGACATGTGGAAGGTCATAAACCCTGCACATCAGCTCTTTTCAATATGATTTGTTTTCCAGTGAGTCTTTGTGGTTCCATGGCCTGTTTTCTCAGTATGGATTTTGAACACTGCACACAGATGGATTCTGTTTAGAATCTAATGGGACTGAAAAAGTCCAGCAGTCAGATAACCCAGACAGTCTCAACTTCATTCTGTTTTAAGCTCTTAAATATATTTAGGTCTGCCTCTTCTCTCCCTGAAGCAGCAAAAATAAGCAAGGGTGACCTTTACTATTCTGCATAAACAGAACCTACTCTTTCCTTTGAGCCTCCCACTGAGGATTTATTGGACGTTCCACCACGGGTTCAATGATCCCTATTTCCTGGACTTACCTGCTCCCATACTCCTTGGCTTTCCTTTTCATATACATGGAATTAATACTTCAGGGAAGAATTTTGATTAATTTTTGTTTCTCTGAAATGAACATATTCTAAGTTGAGCTCTGATGACTACTAATGTAGATCTTAGGAAAAATTAGGAACTTATTCTCTGTATATTGGTAAGAGGACATTCTGAGAAAAGCATCATTAGGTGATGTCCTTGTACAAACATCATAGACTACACTCACACAAATCTAGATGGTATATCCTACTACACACCTAGGCTATATGGTATAGCCTGTGGTTCCTAGGCTACAAACGTGTATGCTATGTTACTGTACTGAATATTGTAGGCAACTGCAACACACTGGTTTGTGCATCTAAACATATTTAAACATAGAAAAGATACAGTAAAAACATGGCATTATAATCTTATGAGACCACCATTGTAGACACAGCCCCTTGCTCACTGAAAGGTCATTATGTTGCACATGACTGTAGTTTCTGCTCTGCACAATAGTAGAAAAAAGTGAATAGTGTTAAAATGGTTGAAGAGAAAGGAAGATGACTCCGAAATTTTAATACCATTTTATTCATGACTAAGAACCTACAAACAGTTCTGAAACAGTTTAACCTTTTCTATTCTTGTTCTCATGTCCTAAAATAAAGTTAAAATGTAACCACCGGGTCGTTGGTGGGGGTGGCTCACACCTGTAATCCCAGCACTTTGGGAGGCCAAAGTGGGTGGATCACGAGGTCGAGAGTTCGAGACCAGCCTGGCCAACATGGTGAAACCCCGTCTCTACTAAGAATACAAAAATTAGCTGGGCATGGTGGCACGTGCCTGTAATCCCAGCTACTTGGGAGGCTGAGGCAGGAGAATCACTTGAACCCAGGAGGCAGAGGTTGCAGTGAGCCAAGATCACGCCACTGCACTCCAGCCTGGGCAACAGAGCAAGACTCCGTCTTGAAAAAAAAAAAATGTAACCACCAATCATTGAGCAACTGTGATATATCAGGAACTATAATGTCCCAGACATTTTTAACACCAATATTTTTTAAAACTTGTCTGAGTTTGTCAGACGGTTACGCAATAGACCTGAGACTTCTAATGCAGAGCTTCTTGAGTTCAAAACCCATGATCTGGTGTACATGGCCACTCTGTATTTTGTTATCCCAGTCCAAGTAATGAGCTATGCAGGATGGGTGTGATCAGGGTTGTGAGGACTGAAACTCTCCCCAGTAGCAATGAGTGAATAGTGCAACGGGACATTTCATTAGGTTAGAGAGGTGAGTGGGGAGAAAGACAGCAAAGAGTCTAGTTTAGTAGAGTTAATGGAAGAAATTATTTCCATTCCTTATCCTGCCTTTACTCTCATGTCCTCAACTACTCATTGGGGCTTGGTTTTAGAGATTGCTTTTGGCTCCAAACACCTATTAAAGGAGATATATATTTTAGTGTTTCTGAATGCTTATTTGTGGTGAAATTTTTTTATTTTTATTTTTGCCAACGAATGTGGTGAAATTTTTAATGACCTCAGTTAAAAAGTAAAAATAATAACGCTATCTAGTGAATTCTGCATAAAGCTAAAAGTGCCACATTGGTGTAATAGCCTATATTCCAAAAGACATCTATTCTACTATCTTCAAAATCATTGCATTAAAAAATGTTAAAGGAAAAGTAAGTTTTAGCTTTTATTTTGTTTTGCTTTTTGAGGCTAGTTGGAAATACTCTTTGAAATCCTGTTTTTTTATCACAATTCTAACTGATGCAAGGTTGAGAGGGGAGGATTCAGGAAGATAAATCCAGCAGGTGTATATAGAAATGGAGAGACGAGACAGAAATACAGGAGTTGAAGAAATAGTTAAGAAATTATTGCAGTGATTTATCTTGGGTTCTAAAGCCTATAGGTATGGCGGCAATGAAAATAGAAGAGTTGGGATATAAGGCATATTTCAGAGGAAGAACCACAAGGACATTGTACCATAGGAAATAGAACAGAATGGGTGTTAAAGGCAGGTAATGATGATATGATTAGCTAAGCAGCTGGAATGCACCTAGCCAGTTGTCTTGAAATTAACCTCATAGCTTCTATTCAATGAGACTTCACATCACCATGAGAAAACTATGTGAAGTGCAGCCCCACTGAGAATAAGTAGTGTCCTAGCAGATTCGTAGCTGAGTGAAACCACTCCAGACTCATAGTAGGTAGCTAATAACTGTTATTCACTCCCAGCTACATGATTTTCTTTAACCCTCAGAACTCCCTGAATGTAGGTATGGGTAGTCTACCTTGCAAATGCAAAAGCTTATTTTCAGGGAAGCTAATTTCACATGACCCAAGACTGGTACAATGAAGATCTGAATACAGGTCAGACAGCATCAGAGAAGGCCCAAGAAGTCCGCCCTTCGTCAGAAGCATTACTTCAAGCCTCATTTGCATGACATTAGAGTAACAGAAGGGATAGAAATGGGACCCTTTTGCGGCCTCTTTAGTAAGAATATTCTGAAGTTAATTTAATGAGAGCAAATTGGCCAACATGAACTTGGCTCCTCCCATGTGCCAGGCAGTGTGCTAGGTCCAGGGCATAAGAAGATACTTAAGAAACATAATGCCCCAGAGGAGATCAGTGCCTGGCAACAAGTATGCAGAGACAACATTGTAGAGTAGTTTCCTGGGGTATGAATTCACCACTGCCAATTTGCTACATGGAAAGAAAGAGATCTTTCTGCATCATAATCTGCATAGATAGCTAGATTTATATTACACAAAGGCTTCAAATAAACTTCATTATGAGAGTTGAATTTTATGAGACTATAAATTTTCAAAGAAGCTGTATAAACATTTTGCAAATAATCTTTTAATTAAAAATGATGATTAATCAGGCCAGGTGAAGTGGCTCATGCCTGTAATCCCAGCACTTTGGGAGGCCGAGGTGAGTGGATAACTTGAGGTCAGGAGTTCGAGACCAGCCTGGACAACATAGTGAAACCCCATCTCTACTAAAAATACAAAAATTAGCCAGTCATGGTGGTGCATGCCTGTAATCCCAGCTATTTGGGAGGCTGAGGCAGGAGAATTGCTTGAACCCAAGAGGCAGAGGTTGCAGTAAGCCAAGATCACGCAACTATACTCCAGCCTGGGTGACAGAGTGAGACTCCATCTCAAAAAAAAAAAAAAAAAAAAAATGATTAATCTTGTTATATATGTTTTGAGTAAAATCAGGTGTATTTTAATTACAACTAAATCATGAAAACACTTGAAATGAGTCTCCTTTGCATTCATATATTATTCCCATGAAAAGTACAAGTTTTAGTTTCTTACTATCCAGATGGACTAGCAGGTAGAATTATTAAGAATAGCCATCACTTACATTTTAAATATTGAATGTAAAAGTATTTAAAAGCAGAAATGTTGGTCAAAGGGTACAAAATTTTAGTTAGGAGGAAAGTTCAGGAGATCTATTGTGAAACATGGTGAGTATATTTAATAACAATGTAATGAATTCTTGAAAATTGCTAAAAGAGTAGATTTTAAGTGTTTTCATCACCCCAAAAACTAATAATGTGTGTTAGGAAATCCATATGTTAATTAGCTCAGTTTAGCCATTTCACAGTGTATACATATTTCAAAACAACATATCGTATACAATAAATGTATACAATTTTTATTTAGCAATTAAGTAAATAAAATGTTTTTAAAAATAATCTGTTCTGCTCTCAGTGCAATCAGTGCTTGTAAGGCCCTGGCTTAGATATTATACTTATCTTGCTATTGCTCTTACTCAGAAATCCACAATGACTCCCTACTGTCTACCCCTTCAATCTGGTTTTCTTAAATATGACCACTTGCCACTTTGGGAGGCTGAGACGGGCAGATCACGAGTTCAGGGGATTGAGACGATCCTGGCTAACACAGTGAAACCCCGTCTCTACTAAAAATACAAAAAATTAGCCAGGCGTGGTGGCACACACCTGTAGTCCCAGCTACTTACTTGGGAGGCTGAGGCAGAAGAATCTCTTGAACCCAGGAGGTGGAGGTTGCAGTGAGCCAAGATCACACCACTGCACTCCAGCCTGGGCAACAAAGCAAGACTCCGTCTTGGAAAAAAAAAAAAAAAAAAGACCACTTGCTTTCTGGCCTAGGCCTACTCTCTCTAGAACCCCTACATGATCTCTCACCCTAGCCATGTCATGCGTCTCTCCAGCACAAATACCATACATCTGTGAACCTCTCTCCCACCCCACCCACCCTACACCCCACAATACACACGCATACCCAAGGCAAATGCTGTGCCAATGCTGGGCAGGCTTGTCCTTAAATCTTTTCCTTGTCCTCACCTTTGTGTGCCTGTACTGCAAGGGGAGCCAAGGAATAGTTGGTGGGGGACAATAAATCTTTTCAGCTGCTCTCCCTATTTCTGAATAAGCTGGATTCAGCTAATGAAAATTATCTCCTGAAGACTGCAGGTGGAGGAAGGAGGAGGAAAATGGAAAACAAAGTATCTCTCCCTCCCTCAGTGCCAAGGGCTTCTTCTCCAGCATTAGGGGCAGCTGCTCTGTGGCTCCTGCTACTACTGCACATGCCACTGTGGTTCCAACTTCCGATGGGTGACCCTGCTTATAACCCAGATCTTCCCCAGTCCCTCCAGCCTAAGGATGGTAGTGACTTCCTGCTGCTGCTAATCTCTGGGCTGCCTCCCTCACCTCCTGTGATCTTTGTAGATTTCCTACCACCTGTGTAACTAACTGTGAGCATTGCATTTCCTGTTTCAAATACTCAAAGTCTTTTCTGTTTACCCTATTGAACACTTACTGAAGCAGTGCTCAAAAAATGGGAGCTTTTCAGTGTGTGCCATACGTTCTATTTTCATCTTCTTATTTGATCCTCACAATAATCCAAAAGGATATGTTTTAAATTCCTATACTATAGGAAGGGAAAGTGATTTACCTTTCTAAGCCTCACAGTTACACAGGTAGTGAGAGAGCCCAGATTGGAACTAGGGTCTAATCATTTACTACTTGTATTCACTTATTTATTAATCTACTTGATTAGATCATACACTCTTTAGAGTATCCTTTTGCCTCCTCCATGCTGTTTGGCACAGCTGGAAACAGTATGGGTAGAGGCTCAGTAATATTGATTAACTAATTAATTTATTGTATAAGAAGTATTCAGCCACCAGACACATGTCTTTTAAGAGCAAGCTTTAACCATTTCAGTTGTTTGCTCCCATCCATTTTCTGTCATCCGACACAGGAAGACATCAAGGGAGAGGTAATTCACAGGAGTAAGGAGGCACCACCAGGGGCAGAAATGTTTGATCCTAAGAAAGTGTAGCCACAAGATTTATATCAAGTGGCAGAGCCTCAAGGTTTGAGGAAGAAAACAAAAGTTTGATTCAGGAGGGCAGAGCAGAGACAGAAATGGCAACTGGATGTCAGAGATATGCCCTGGATAATCTCTTTTTGAGATGAACCATGGAATACTCAAAATAGGGCTGAGTCCAAAGAAGCAGAGCTGGGTAGGAATGAGAGAGGAATGCAGGTGCCAGCCAGCTGTCTTGGATACAGTATGAGAGGCCTGATAGAGTCCAAGGACCTAGCAGAGAGAGAGAACTCCTGGAACCCAAAACACTGGATAGACTGGACTCCATGAAGTGGCCATTTGTTAGTGTTGCTGAAACTCACGCTGAAGAACTTAATTTTTCTCTATATTTTAGCCCTTGGGTATGAAGCTATACAGGAGCCTTTCCAACCACTGGTGAGGGTGATATTCCCAGCTCAGCCTCGTTGCATTATGAAGACAGTTTGCATATGGCAGCTGGCTGGTAGCTAGGCCTGTGGGTGGGAGCTGAAAGAATCCACTCTGCTGGGAACTATTTGAACTACAAGATTTCCTTTCCTTTTCAGAAAAATGTGGTAGTTTTACCAGGGATTTCACAGTTATTGGTATCCATTTAATTGGCACAAAATAGGGGGTTTGGCCGGGGAGATTGTTGGGGATGTTGAAACTTATCTTCTAACTTCTTCTTTCCAAGAGTCCTTTATTATTTCCCAGCCTAGCATTGCCTTCTCCCCGATTTCTTCTTCCCATGGAGAAAAGTCACCCTTCCCTATTTAAGAAAGGGAAAACTTACAGGAACTGGTCTCACAGAGACAAGTTAGGAAACAATTTAAAGGAGAGAGAGATAAATAGAATCAAATTCAGCATCAAAGTTTTATAAGCGGTAGTCCCATTCAATTTGGTAAAAGATGAGTTATTGGAAAACTCTGTCAGATTTAAAGTCTGTAACAGCAGAAATCAGATTAAAGTGAATAATAAAAAGTGTAAAAACCATGTATATGCTCTTTTGCAAAGAATCTTGGCTGAAAGAATAGAGAGGGACGTAACATATTTGAGGACACATGGATTAGTGGTGGAACATAGTTACGGCGGGATGACATGAGCCTAGGTGGATTATGATACTTAAGGAAGAACAGTTTTTTGATAAAGGAGGTAAGAGAGTAAGGATGTGTTCAATGAAGAGCTCAATAGGTTGGTGAAGGGTAGTGGGGAAAGTACATGACTAGGTTTCCTCCAACTATTTGTCCAGTGAAATTATATCTTTTAAGTTTCTTATTAGTTCAAACACAGATTATAAGAAGAGCATTTATGCATGTCAAAATTCCATTTCCTCTCAGATCCATTTCTTATCCTTTCTTTCCTATGCCCTGAATCATAGGAAGCTACATTGCCTAGGCCATTTCTTTTGGTCTGGCGGTAAGTTTGGGTACTTGGTGGCAATCATGGAAGATGGGGGGACAGGAGGAAGGGAGCAACCAGGGTAATTCTTTCCCTCCCTCTTTCTGTCTGCTTCCTATGGTGTCTGGCAGCAGTTACACTTTCACCATGGCTCACAATCTGACCAAGCTGGGTTCCCAGCACCCACCCAGGTACCCACTCTTCTTCTAGCACCTTCTACACAGCCCTGGTGTCCAAGGTCGGGCATCACCCCGTTGTCTTACTGTTGCTGCTAAATCTCTAGGTTGCTCACCACCTCGTATTTGCTTGTCATCCTTTCTATCCCAGTTCCACCATTTCTTGTATCAAATTAACTGTATTTGAAAGAGCTAGAGTGATTTCTCTTTTCCCACCTGGACCCTGACTGATAAAGCAACTGTCCCTCCAAATCATTTATATAACCACATAGAAGGTGTGATTCCAGCAGATTTGCCTCAATCATATGTCTTCTTTCTGAGAAACATACTCAACTACAGCCAAAGTTTTCCAAAATACAGACCACTGACTATGATAATATATCCTTTTTCATAATTAGTATTAATGACTAATGGTTTTAACCTAGTAGACTAGCTTTTTTCCTAATTTTTTTAAAGTTTTATTTTATTTTTAATTGATACATACTAATTACATATATTTATGAGATACAGTGTGCTGTTTCAATGTGTCTATTTTTCAGTCATTAAATATAATTAACCAGTCATTCCACAGAAGAGTATAGAGCACTACTTTTAAATAGATCTCTAATCTATAAATATAGAAGTCTGTAGTTTATTTTTATTTCCACTGTTCTAAATGTTTCAAAAAGAAATATCCTCATGTCTGTAGCATATTAACCGACACACACATAAAAATAAGAATATTCTTTATATTATTACATAATAAGGAACTGTGATATTTGTCTTTTAGAAGCTAGTGTAAGAATTCCTCACACAGCAGGTTATCCTCCATTGAGAAACTGCTTATAAGTTTCTTGAGATGGAAAATAAGTCCTCCAAAAATGACTGGCAATTTCAAATTCCTGGAGGAAGATCTAGGGGAAAGGGAGCTAGCATCAATGAGGTGCCAGTGATTCTACTTTAAGAAAAATGCTCCTCTGTAGCCCAGCATCCTTGGCTAAAAAAAAACTTGAACAAACAAAAATCTATTGTCATGTCTTTTCTTCCAAAATTTTGGCTGTGGAACGTGTGAGAAGAATTCCTCTGTCTCCTCTATGATGTCTTCAGAAAATTTTATGTATTTGACTCATGCTTTCATGCAAGTGAATTCAAAGAGGCTGATAGAAGAAAGTTGGTAAATGAGGCAATGGTTTTTAAGAGAAAAATGTGTCTAACTGAGCCTCCATGTATGTATTGAGCACTTTGTACTCTTCTGAATTTGAAGATACAGAACACTGCATAAGTGGAAGACTTCACTCATTCAGCCACATGATCATCTCCTGTCCTGGGATGTGGTATGAACATATGTGCACTGAGCATGTTCAATGTTCACACACTGCTAGAGTTGGAAAATGACTAACTTGGACTAAAATATTCAGATGAATTTTGAATTTTATGGCATAAAGTTTTATTGCACTACTGAGCTTCAGTCTGGTTCACACAGATCTGAGGAATCAGGAAGTGGGAGCAAGGTCACAAAAAAGGGATGATGGCAAATGTTGGTATCAGTCACTTTCCATGACCTGCCTCAGGCAAAAAAAAAAAAAAAAAAAAGACTACATTTCTTTTTGGAAGAGCACATTCTCTTGTAATTTTATAGGAAATCACATGCCGATCTTAGTGTCCAAGATTCCCTTCCATGGCAGGCAAGCAGGTCTCTAACTACGTTTATTTCTTTCATCTAAAATGGGCATGCTCTGAGTGTGAGAGTGTGCCTATATGCATGGGGAAGCAGCACCTTCTGAGAAAATGCGACTGGATGTAGCCCTTTTCTGTGAAGGCTCAGAGACATAATTGGGTCAATGCCTCAAGGTGGTCAGATCCTGGGAACCAGGCTCATGCTTACTAAAATGCACAAAAGAACTGGTGTTAGCCGTGGAAAAAACAACTGTCACAGCAATAAAAGACGTAGAACAAGCACATTCTTCTCCTGTGGTAAGCAACATGGGAAGCTGTTGAGAAACCATGAAAAGTGCCTGCCTCACAGCCCAGAAATATCTGAAAGCCTTAATGTCCACTCACCTCTCCCTGTAGGCAGACCTAGGAGTGATTTGAGATGTTCCTTTGCGAACCTTGACTTACAGCAAGGGGACTGAAGTCTCTTTCTCAGAAAGCTTTTTCCCTGCCCTGCACTCTGCAAGGCAGCAGCTCCATCATGCAATGAAACTTACTTGGGCTCATAAGCACTGACATGCTGATGAAGCTAAAACTTGTCCTATAGTGTCTCATCCCGACAGAGGGTACTCATTTATGGGTATTTCACAAGTACGCCACACTTTGTGGGGGCTTTTGAGTAACAAATATTGCTCTTTAATCACATTCTTCAGATTACAACATATTTGCGATTGTGTTTTCCCCTTCATATTGGCTCCACTGCTTCTCATGAAACAAATCCCAGTTCAACTTGGATATTTGGATCATAAAGTGTCTCACACTGAGGGGTGATTTTTTTTAACGCTATCTGTCTGGCAAAGGCTTGCAGACTTGCCCTGCCTTTCTAGTTATCTTCTTGGAAATCTTTGGCTTTTGAATCACCTTTTGTGCTTTCAGGTTAACGAAGTAATTGAAGTATAATTGTTCCCATTTTATGAATGAGGGAAATGAGGTATAGAATGCTTTCCTGCTAAAGCTGCAAGATGGCAAAGCTGGTTTCTAGTGTGTGAATCAAACCAGGAGCTCTCTTCAGTACCTGGCACTGCCTTTGTTGCAGGATTTTTCCTTAGTTCAGCTGAAGACAGGGTCCTTGTCCATCGCATGGCCATGAAAATTTAGGCTCATAGACAGTTTGAAGGGTGAGTAAAGCAGGGTTTTATTGGGTGAAAAGGAAGAAAAGGGGGAAACAGAGACTCTCCACAAGGCCAGGGTCCCGTTAGAGTGCTTCCCTCCAGCAGTTTGAATTCCAGGTTCCACACACCGTAAGAGGAGGGGCCAGGCTCCTCCCAGCTGCAGACGGGGCAAACTTCCCAAGGATCCACCTCAGTGAGCATTCCTCCCAGCGCGCAGGCCAGTAGGAGTTTGCCAGGGACCCACTCCCATCTGACTGGCTCATCTTCATCAATGCCTGAGCCCTCAGTACTCTGGAAATGTATGTAACATTTCCTCTCCTTCTGTCTTAGCAATAGATCTTCCAGGATGAGTAATGGCAAGATGTGCAGAACTACCCACAGCTCCTACTAATTCAGAAGGAAGTAATTTGAGAATGAATCATAGAGAAAATTTTCAAATGCCTTCTTACAGGTATTAAACATTCAGTTACATGATACAATTAACTGCTGCCATCATATCACATGGTAAACTAGTTTGAATAGGGACTTTCTGTGCCACGTTACAGGCCATACAGTAGCATTTTTAGGTCATGGAGTATGAAGACATATGTTGAAATCCCAACTCAGCCACTTAATGGCTTTTTTACCTTGAGAAAGTGACTTAAACTCCCTAAGCTTTAATTTCTCCAGCTGTAATTACTGTATGACAAATGTCAGTACATCAAGCATTTTGTGAGGTTTAAATGAGATAATGTGTAGAAAACTCAGCATGATTGTAGAAGAATAAGTACTAAATATAGAAGTAGTGATACTAGTAATAGTAATCTTTGGAGGACACTAACATATTATTACAAATGTGTTTCATAAATTATCTCATTGTATCATTGTATTATCACCATCTTACAGATGAGAAAACAGAAACTTACAGAACTTTAATCACCTGCCCAAGACCAGGTTAAGTGCCAGAGATGACACTCACATGTCCTCAGATTCTAAATTCTCTCTGCTTTCCCTTATAACAAGTGGCCCCAATGGGAAATGTGTTCAGTATTGGTCATGGTGTGGTTGATGAGGTCAGCTTATTGTTGGAGGGCTCAGGAAGGTCCCCAGATGCTAGTGAAACCCTAGCCCCAGCCAGTATCCAGGTTCTTGACACCATCACAAGAAAGGATTTGGGAATGAGTCAGAATGATGCGAAAGACAAGAAGCTTGTATTGTGAAGAGAAAGTACACACGTAAGAGAGAAGTGCAGGCATGCTCATGAGAACAAGTCACACACAAAGGAATTTTCTATTCTAATGTGCTCCTCTCAATTAGGGGGTGGAATAATCATGAGGTTTTCTAGGAAAAAAAGGTGGTGATTTCTTAGAATTGGGGTGGCACCTATTTTTATGGGCTTGCTCGGATCTGTTGTGGTGCTGGTGGGTGTGTAATTTAGTATGGTAATGAGCATATAATTAGGTCTGGATAGGGCATGGGTCAAATCCACCACCATGTTGGACTTAGCCAGTTTCAACCAGGTTATCCCATATCCTTTCTGTTAGGGTCTTATCAGCCTAGGCTCATCCTTGTCATTGAAGCTAATTTTTTTTTTTTTTTTTTTTTTAGATGGACTCTTGCTGTGTCACCAGGCTGGAGTGCAGTGGCGTGATCTCGGCTTACTGCAACCTCTGCCTCCCGGCTCCAGCAATTCTCAAGCCTCAGCCTCCCAAGTAGCTGGGATTATGGGTGCACACCATCATGACCAGCTAATTTTTTTGTATTTTTAGTAGAGACAAGGTTTCACCATGTTGGCCAGGATGGTCTTGATCTCTTGACCTCGTGAAATGCCCACCTTGGTCTCTCAAAGTGCTGGGATTACAGGCCCAACGCACCCAGCCTGTAGCTAATTTTAACAGCTCCTTTCTTGCTGCCATATGAAATTGCTGCTTGACATTTTCTCGCTTCTGTGACCACCCAGTATTCCTGTCTCAAGATGAAGTTGTGGCAGGCTGGGGACATGGGCTTCCGAAACTGGAGTTAATTTTACTATTGACTAGAATGATATTAGACTATTTGTATAATAAAGTAGATCTGTTTAACACTATGTGCCTAACACTGTGCTAGTTGCTTTAACTCTTATGACCACTCTCTAAAGAAAGCATTTATTATTGACATTTACAGACTAAAAAACTGAATGTTAGGAAAGGTAAATGGCTTGTCTAAGGTAATATCTTGGCACATGGTTAGGTCAATGCTTAAATCTAAAGCTGGTGCACTTTTCAATGGGTCCCATTGCTTCTAATGAATGTAGCTAGCCCCCAGTTTTCTTATCTACAAATTGTACCTGTATTGCAGTACTGTGTGAAGGCGAGATGAGATGACACAAAGTAAAACACTTAGAATAAGGCCTGGCACATAACAGGCAACAGAATCCTCATCTCTTCCTCTTTATTTACCTAAAGAGACAGTGGCCCAGAATGAAGAAAGACAGGTACAGAGACACGGGCTTTATCTCTGAGTGACATCTGCAGGCAGCTCAGTGACATTAGAATTGGATTTTTTTGTGTCAAAACGGTTATCTCTCTGTGAGCTCTGTGCATAGACTGATGGATATGTGATCTTTGCAGGATGGAATTGAACAGTAGAGCTAATTGCTTTAGGAAGTTTACTATATATGGGAAGTATAAATCTCATGAAAAACAACTGGTGGTAAGAGAAAAGAGAGACACTCTTAACCACAAATCTCCCATATTCCACTCTCTAGCTCCAACATATACCCTGTCTGCATTACAAGCAGGGAAAGAGGCAAAGATCTAGTATTTTGTACTTATTCATCTCATGCATCCATGTATCCATCCATTCAACCATCAATATTTATTCAGCAGTTACTCTGTGCCAAGCTCTCTGTTAAGAAAGAGAGGGGATGAACAATCAGATAAGACATGATCCATGACCTAAAGAAGCTTATGGTCTAGGAGGGAAACCAATAAATACACTAAAATCAAAATACAGAGCTCTGGGTGCTTGGATAGATAAAGTAATGTCTGGGTCCCGCGAGATCACAGAAAAGGGGAATTTAAATTAACCAAAGTGTCCAGTAAGTCTTCCTGAAGGAGGCAAGCCATGAGCTAAGCGTTGGAGGAGAGTGTTAGACAAGGCCCTTGGCTTGAAATAACAAGAGGTGCTCCATCTTATGAGCTGTCATGGAGGGAAGCAGAGGAATATTGGGTGGCTTCATCATAAACTTCCATATTTGGATGATGCATCATAACCTTCTCAACACTTTTACACAAGATCATTCCTCCTATTCTGTTACTTTTGTCTTAGAAATTCTACATAACTCTCCAGTGTTTTAAAAACATATATAACTCTTCAAACTTTTAAAGATAAACTGTTTATCACTATTTTTACATATCAAAATAAAAATAATATTCTATCTCCAGTGAGGACAGATTTGAGCTACTCCAAGATGCAAGTAATGAAGCGTAATACAAGTAATAAAGCTAGGCCCTATCAGATCTCATTTAATTTCTCTGTGGTTGTAAAAATAGCACAAAGCTTTGAAATACAAAATGTATTCCCTTTTAAAAAATATTTTCCTTAAAGTATAGTAACTTTGTCAGCCCCTCAGTGCTAATATCACTCATGTTAATATTGAGATACTTTCTTAGGAATAGCATGTGATGCATCAGTGTCTAAGAAATAATAAAAGGATAAACATAGCATCAAGACTTCTGAATGCTTGTGTATATTACTGAAAATTAGTATATATCAGTCTAACCTCATTAAATTCTTAGACAGTGAATGTGTGTCTGTATTCAGAATTTTATTTTCATGTTCTTGGGAAATGATGAGTGGAAGAACATTTATGTAGTATTGAATTAATATTAAAAAGAAATTGATTATATCTTTCAAGGGTTTATTAAGCAATTGCTCTATTTAAGTCACTATGGTAAATTATATGCACATAGACATTAAACAAAAACAGAATCTCTGGCTTCAAGAGCCTCGTGATTTAACTGTATGGGAGACCAGAAAATAAACTGGAGGAGTCATGCAGAGTGCTCCAGGAGGAAGCCTATGGGAGATACATAACTAAAAAATCCTTAGGGATGAGAGGAGCCAAGGAAGGTTTCCTAGAGAACGAATAAGACATATGCTACATATGACATATAGGACAGCTTTTTCCGGACAAAGAAAGCAGAAAACTATGTACTAGACAAAGAGAGGAGCATGTGCAAGGACATACAAATAGGGAGGCAGTAGTTTGGACAGTATCAATAAATGATTAAGGCCGAGTGCAGTGGCTCACACCTGTAATCCCAGCACTTTGGGAGGCTAAAGTGGGAGGATTGCTTGAGGCCAGGAGTTCAAAATCAGCCTGGGCAACATAGCAAGTCCCCATCCCTCCAAAAAAAATTATCTGGGCATGGTGGCACATGCCATGCCTGTAGTCAGTCCTAGCTACTCAGGAAGCCAAAGCAGGAGGTTTCGAGACTACAGTGAACTATAATTGTCCAACTGTGCTCCAGCCTGGGTGACAAAGCAAGGCTCTGTCTCTAAACAGATAGACTGATAGATGATAGATGATAGATAGATAGATAGATAGAAGAGTGAGAAAGAATAAAAGAAAGAAAGAAAGAAAGAAAGAAAGAGAAAAAGAAAGAAAGGAAAGAAAGAAAGAGAAAGAAAGAAAAGAAAGAAAGAGAAAGAAAGAGAAAGAAAAGAAAAGAAAAGAAAGTTACAAATAAATAATTAAAATGATGAAAGTATGGATCTGGGCCGGATAGGAAGAATCTCATAGCTTGGGAAAAGATGGAGGACTTAAGTACTGCTAGTTTTAATGAGGTCTCCGAACGTATATTGCACAAATAAGGTTTATAACAAGTCCATGAAATGTCCTTGAAATGAGCGGATGAAATGGAGTGAGAAGGAAGGTCATTGGAATGGAGAGGGTCAAGGAACTTTAACAATGGGATACTTTATGGCCATCATGTGGACACTGATGTCCTCAAGATGCTAGAAGCTCTTGGAGCTACAGAGAAAGACTGTGATCCTGGTGTCAACACTGTGTCTACCTCCTCTGCTCCTGGGAGCTCCTCCTCTGCTCCTAGAGCAAATTGTACAATTAAGTTGATTGGAATTATGAAAATCCATGATCTTGAACCTAATTTCTTCAGACCTACTAAGGAAGTCTCATATGATTTCCAGTTTCCTTCACAACCATTTCCAGCCTTCACAATTCACAAGCTGTATCAGCTTCCTCCTCATTCTCAGCAGATTTACTCACCTTCTGCCTTACAGACCAAAGTGAGGCCCACCAAAGCAAACATCTCAACTTCTTTCTCCACCTAAAAACTTGCCTGGCATCTACACTACTCCTCTTTGTGTCTCACTTTCCTAAGCTACCATTAAAATATGGGATAATAATTATATACATCTAACAATGTTATGGGGGAGGTTAAATAACATATATAATCCTTAGGCAGGTATAGCACATAGAGATCAATGCTTATTAATTATCATTATTGCTATTACTCTGGTTGTTGTTGAAACCCATCCTCAACCCCTATCTTCACAGTCCCATCCCAGGCTGCCTCATTTATCTCCTCATTCTCCTGTATTTTCTGCATTTTCCTCTCTAGTAGTTGTTTTCTTCCTCTCAGCATATAAGATCAATTATTTCACATCTGTAAAAAAGCTTCTTTCTCTGCTTTTATTCCTCTTCCAAGTCACTGCCCTGCATTTTTCCTTTGCTTCACATTGAGTTCCCGGAAATCTACTCAGAGCCTGCTGTGTACCCTGGTGTGGTGGCACATGCCTGTAGTTCTTGCTACTCAGGAGGCTGAGGCAGGAGAATCACTTGAGCTCAGGAGTTTGAGGCTGCAGTGAGCTATGACTGTGCCACTGCACTCCAGCCTGGGTGACAGAACTTAAACAAACAGACAAGCAAACAAACAAAAAACTCAAAGAATCTGCTGTGTCCACTTCCTTCTCTTGATGTGAAAATACGAACCCACCACATTTTGTCCTCTGCCCTGCAGAAACTGCTTTTCAAAAGTTGCTTATAATGTACAAGATGTTAAATCTAATGAATGTTTTTTGGGTTTTATGTTATTTTAATCTTCAGTAATAGTGACACTGTCAAGAGTTCCATTCCTCCCTCCCCTTCTCCCTTTCTCCTTCAGTGCTTTTATTCTTTTATAACATTAGATCCCCCTGCTTAGTGTGTTATTTAGTACACTGTTAGTCCTCAATAAGTATTTGTGGAATAAAAATATATTTGATAAGAATAATATATTACACAACAATACATGTTCTTTGGAGAGTAGGTATATTTTAGTGTCTAAGGATTAGTGTGTCTGAGCTATGGACATACTTAGGGTAGGAAGCTGACTGTATTAGTGTAGAAATTAGGCCATCCCCTGAACTGTCTTTTCTTAATGGGATAAAAACCCAATGAGCAAGTACCTAAAAGATAATATTTAAAATTATCCAGGTCTTATTTTTGCTATGTTTAGTAGAAAGAGATGAATTATAACAGAACAAGCTCATTTACTGTAAAATTGGTCTTACCATCTTGTTTTATTTTTTACTAGCTCATAAAATCAAAGTGTTGAAAAACAATTTCCCGGCTGATTCATAGTTAACAAATACTTGGTGAAATTTCAGTGTATCCTTTTATAAATCTGATACCTTAAATGCAAAACAAAAGGTCATTTCATGTTTCCCAGCTGGCAGTGGACTGTAGTAACATATACCTGTTTAGGATAACTCAAATTCCTGATTAGCATGTGTGGAACTTGCAATTGTAGTACAACAAATATCTCATTGAAAATGCTCTGTGCTGCTTTTCTGATCACAGTCTTTGTATATACAAGTACAGCCGAGTCAGATGCAACAACGCAGACAGCCAGTCAGCTTCTCTATGGCTTGTTACTGTTGCCCTACAAACAGTAGAATAATTATTTCTGGACCCACTCTATTCATGAGATGATAAATGAACTTAACACATCTGTTGCACTTACTAATCCATTCATGGATTTATTCTCTCATTCGTGTTTTCACATATGCTTTGAATGGACTAGGCTGAATCATTTCTGTAGTCACACAGACTTAGTCCTAGTGAATCCTAGTTACAGAATCCCCAATAACATCTACATGGCAGCAAAGCTATACCATGGAGAAACTGATTCCTTTATATCTGAACTTTCTATTCCAGATGAGACAGTTCTAATTCAGGTCTTTATTGCCCCTCACCTAGACTAGGATAATCATGTTCTAACCAATATCTCAGATTGACTTCTCTGGAAAAGAGACTGAGATGTAGTTTAAGGTGCCAAATACTGATTAAAGTGTACCCTTGGAATCAACACCTGTGGAAGGGAGAGGAAGGAACCTGGAGTACATAGAGATAAAAGTCAGGTCTAAGGTCAGCCCAACCCCACCACCCCCCTCCCAGGAGAAGCTCAGAAGCTAGATGGACACTACAGGGTTGCCCGATTTGGGCCAGTATGTCCAGGCCTTTATACTTAAACATACATCAGTGACCGGAGGTGAGCCACTAATCCAAGGGGTCTGCCATTGGCTGAGAGAACTCTCTGTAGGTGAGGCAATCCACAGCAAGTCTGACAACAGAAGGCTGTCTATGATCAACACTCCCAGGAGCACTGCCCCACTTGGGGAGCACATCCCTCTGTTCATGACAGCTAGCCTTCCTCTTTTCACCTCTCCCTATTGTAATTTAGCACATACATTATTCCCATATTAATCTTCCAACAACCCAGGTTTGGTAATGAAACTCCATTGCTCAATAACCTTCACACGCTTCCATCGTACACACCACATTTAGCTAACTCTCCATTATTTCACCCAAGCCACCTCTCTAGGTTTTATCCACAGTACTCACTTACGCATCTTCCATTTAGCAAAACCACTATTCCCTAAGACAGTTCAGGGTACTATTGTTGCCAGATGAATGGTGTGTATGTCAGAGTAGTGGTGGACAAGTAGGGAAGTCATTTTTGTGAAAGATTTTTGTTCATGCCCCATCCTTGACTTGAACCTTTACTTCGAACGTTTCTTCTCTAAATGTCCCTACCCCCAACTTCTAACTTTAAAAAATTCTGTTGTTCTTCAGAGCCCAACTCATGCTATTTCTTCCATGTAATTCCTCAGGTAGGGGATGTCCAGATGCTATTTATGAACCAGGATATTTAATATTAAATTGTACAGGTTTTGGCATGCTACAATGTATCTCTCCCTTTCCCTCCAAACTACAGACTGCCTTCTGTGGGTGATGCTTCAGAGACATCACACACAGACAAGAGACTATGATAAATGTCTTAAAGATCTCAGAGACAAGACGACAGAATGGCCATGGTGGGGAAAGTCCTGAATAAGACCAAGGGTTCCTAGAAATATGAAACTGGAGTGGGATAGAACTATTAAAATTTAAATCTTTGCCAAATTGCTGACACTGTACAAGGCATTCTACTCCTCCAATACATGGAATAGGGCCCTCTAACAATTTAAATTTTAATTATTAAACTAATGAGTGACTCCATGAATTCAGACCTGGGAAGTTCTTACACTAGTTGGGTTTATAGTTGGGTTTCATGTATAAGATGAGGAGGACGGATTAGAGTTTTCAAAGGGTCCTTCATGTGCTACAACTTGGCAACCTAGGTCACACTTTGTATTTGTATGCTCACTTTGTTTATGTGTTCATGTTTATGAGCATTTTGTGGGCATAGGCTGTACTTAGTTCATCTTCCTAGGTTGACAGACAGTGTCTTACACATAGCAGATATGCAGTAAATGCTAATCAAAGGAATCTTCCTCCTGAGTCACTTCACCATGAGGAAAATTCGTCTATGTGTGCTGTTTCAGGTGACAGATTTAATTAGAGAAATAAAATGTTTTCAATGAAGGAGATTTAGAGATATCTTGGTATACGCCCTTTCAACCTCTCATCATCTTGACAGCTGTCAACTAATGGGGCAAAACATTACAGTGGAGAGTTATATACTCAAATGTAGTAAAATCCCCAGAGCCTGGGATGAGTTTTATTATGTTTTATTGGAGTAGTAGTGGTAGAAAAAGTTATAATTAAATGACATAATGAATGTAAAGCAATTATTCCAATGTACATTAAGCATTTGATAAGTGCCAGCTATTTTTGACTAATTTTATAATATTTGTGTCCAGAGGTCCTTAACTGACATAGTTCATTGCATGCACTGTTCCTTCCAGGAGGAGGCCTAGCAAGTTTCCATACTAATGGTAATCCCAGGAATTTCTAGGTAATAGCAAGATTATGCCCCACACCTAATCTGTGCAACTCCTGAGATAAGTTCACGAATTTAAGCATGAAAATCTCATGAGTTTAATCTTGATGGCTAGCTGGAAAAGTTAGCATATGTGTCCTCAGAGATGGTCACATATTCAAGCCTCATTTATTTATGTCAAACAGGGGTATCCATCAAGGTCTTGAGAGATGTCATACTAAAAGAAGAAAGCAAAGAGAATTTTGGGAAGAGATCATTTTGAAAAGCTGTAGGCAAGTTGTAGGAACACACAGGAAGGATTAAGAATTCTAGGACAAGAAATGGCTAGAAACTTTTGTACTCCTTTGGTCTAATGGGGTAAGAGAAGGTAGTTAATAACAGAACTCAGCAAAAATTACAGTTGTGGGACAGGAGTTACCCATTAATAACGACAACCTTAGAGAGAGGGTGCAACCACTGCAGAATCTCAAAAGCAAACATCTCCATCTTTCTGTACTCCCACTCACCAATATCCAGCCAATAAGAGTCACCTGCAAAATCCACCCACAAACTAGAGAGTGAGGGAATGTGAGTGATGAAGTTAAAGAGGTCAGCCTCCTAAGGCACACAGCCCACTGGAAAAGGTGGAGTGTGAACTTGGAGAAGGAAACAGAAATTTCCAGAACATTCAGTGACTCTGTATATATTATCTGTGAAGATGTGAACATACGAAGGACATAAGCAAGACAGATCAACAATGCCAGTGAAAGGCACCAGTGGAAAATACAACAGGAAGTCATTGCCTTGAATGATAGAGTATGGCTGAGTGGATCGTGAAAAAAGTGATAGAGAAAAAAGTTGGGCAAATAACACCATGAGCACATAAAGGAGGACGCATGTGAAAAAGATGGGGAATAAAATGGGGATAATATTTAATAACATAGGTCATAACATAAGCTTAATTCAGTCAGTTGAAAGGCCTGTCAATCTGTAGATGTCATTGTTAAAACTAGAATCAAATAATAATACAGCAAAAATGTCACCTTTACTGTACGATCTTCACTCCCTATGAGAAATGCTCAAGAGCTTGAATTATGGTGTGTTTCTGGGAATTGGAAGAATGGGGTGAATATGAGAGATACAGGGAGAAGAAAAATCACAGAATTTGAAAACCATGAAGAACGTAAAACATACAAAGCATGGCTAATAAATATGTTCCATTTTTGCTGCTATCTGAGATAAGCATTGTATAACTTATTTAGGATGTTAAGCTGTCTCATGAAACCAGCAGGGAAAGTCATCTTGTTGTTAATTATAGGCTCATAACTGCTGTCCAGAGTATAATATCATCTGTTTTGCAATAGTCTGACATTAGGGAAATTTCTGTTATTTGTAAAATTAAAATCATGGCTTTCTTCTTTCTTAAGTTAAACTTCTGGCTGGAAATTCTGAATAGCAATTTATATTAGTTCTTTAGCATATATAATATTTTAAAATAATAGGCAATATTAATAAGTCAAATAAAGAGAGATAAATGTAGTTCTGAAGGAAAAATGTATTACAACCTTCTTTGAACATTTATTTTTGTATAGTAAATAATTTCCCTGTTTTTTCATTCAACATATATTTTCTATTTTTGCTTAGTATAATTGTTAATGAACTATAATTTAAATGTAGGAAAATGCACAAATCTTAATTGTATAGCCAATACATATAAATTTGTATTAGTCAGCATTCTCTAGAGGGACACAACTAATAGGATATATATATTATATATATATAGTATATATATATTATATATATATAATATATATACTTTGTGATTGTGTGAGTTAATACTCCTTAATAAACTCCCCTTTATATATATGATGTCATTATATATATTTTATATATATTATATATAAAATATATATAAATATATAATATTTTATATATAAATTATATATAATATATAATATTTTATATACCTAAGGTCATCATTACATATATAAAATATATATATATAAAATATATTTATATTATATAAAATACATATAATGACAACCTTAGAGAGAGGTCTACGTATATACATATATATATATATATATATATATATATATATGTATATATAATTATGACTTTAGAGAGAGGCTGCTATATATATTTATATACAAAGGGGGGCTTATTAAGAAGTATTAACTCACACAATCACAAAGTCCCACAATAGGCCATCTGCAAGCTGAGGATCAAGAAAGCCAGTCCAAGTCCCAAAGCTGAAGAACTTGGAGTCCAATGTTCGAGGGCAGGAAGCATTCAGCAAGGGAGAAAGATGTAGGCTGGGAGGCTAAGCCGGTCTAGTCTCTCCACGATCTTCTGCCTGCTTTATATTCTGTCCAGGCTGGCAGCTGATTAGATGGTGCCCACAAAGATTAAGGGTGGGTCTGCCTCTCCCACTCCCCTGACTCAAATGTTAATCTCTTTAGGCAACACCCTCACAGACATCCAAGATCAATACTTTGTATCCTTCAATCCAATCAAGTTGACACCCAGTACTAACCATCACAACATCCATGTAACTACCACCCCATTAAAAATAAAAATAAAAAATATTTCCGTTACTTACTTGTGCACCTTCTCAGTCAATAAATAAGGGGTAAAGAATCACTTATTTCCATATTTCTTAACTGATCAGTTTTTTCTGCTGTTGACCTTCATATAAAAGGAATCACATAGGCCAGGTGCAGTGGCTCACACCAGCAACCCAGCACTTTGGGAGGCTGAGGCGGGTGGATCACGAGGTCAGGAGTTCAAGACCAGCTTGGCCAAAATGGTGAAAACCTGTCTCTACTAAAAATACAAAAAATTAGTTGGCATGATGGTGCATGCCTGTAGTCCCAGCTACTCGGGAGACTGAGGCAGAAGATCGCTTGAACCCAGGAGGCAGAGGTTGCAGTGAGCCAAGATCGTGCCACTGCACTTCAGCCTGGGCCACAGAGTGAGATTCTGTCTAAAAATAAACAAATAAATAAATAAATAAATAAATAAATAAATAAAAGGAATCACATACTATTACTCTTCTGGCTTCTGTCACTCCCCATGCTTTGAGATTCTTTCATATTGTTGCTTGTATCAGTTTGTAATGCACTCACATCACTATCCATTATCCTGATGATGAACATTTAGTGTTGTTTTCAGTTTATGGGCTTTTATTGAAAAAAAGTTTCTGTTTGCTCAAAATTCTAGAAAACACACTTGTGTTTTCAGTCATTTAAATATCAGTCATTTAGGGTGGATGTAGGCTGGTATATTATTGTGTTTTTAATTTGTATATCCTGGATGGCTAATAATGTTGAATATCTTTTTATATGTTTATCAGTTGTTTGGATATTTTATTTTATGAAGTACTTTTAAAGTACTTTTATTTATGTTTATAAAATAGGATTGTTTTTATTTTTCTTTATATGTTCTGGATATGACACCCTTGACAGATATATGTATTATAAACATTTTCTTCCAGCCTGTGGCTTGCATTTTCACATTCTTAATGGTATTTTGATGAGCAGAAAATTTTAATTTTGATAATGTTTGATTTATTATTTTTATCTTATAGCAAGTGTTTTTGGCTTCCTATTTAAAACATCTTT
Source organism: Homo sapiens (assembly GCF_000001405.40). Classification (NCBI taxonomy): domain Eukaryota; kingdom Metazoa; phylum Chordata; class Mammalia; order Primates; family Hominidae; genus Homo; species Homo sapiens. The sequence goes on from NC_000011.10 coordinate 101,630,600, forward strand.
GTATCCCCAGGTCTTAAAGCTATTCTCTTATGTTTTCTGCTAGAAGCTTCACAGTTCTAGCTTTCACATTTAAGTCTATGATTCATCTCATGTTAATTGCTATGTATGGTACAAATTAGGGGTAAAGAATCACTTATTTCTATATGAATGTTCAGTTTCTTCAGGACTACTAATTGATAAAACATTTAGTTTGCTTTTAATTACATGGAGAGCTCTTCAAAAATCAATTGTCTACATTTGTGTGTTCTATTTCTCGTGTCTCTATTCTGTTCCATTTATTTATTTATTTATTCTTGTATGACCATCATGCCATCTTAATTATTGTATCTTTATTGTAATTTTATTCAATAAATATTTATTAAATACTTAATATCTGGAACAAGAAGCAAATATGGTCCACTGGACCCCTAAAGAAGCAGAGCAAATGAAACCGGGGAGACACGACCTATGATCTGTGTTGAGATACCCCTACAATCCATACTATATAGGAAATATATTGGAAGTGCCACAAATATATAGGAAGCACCTGTCCCAGGTTCTTCTCTAAACTCTGTGAATATAGAAGTGAATAGCAGAGACAAAGTTGCTGCCTTCTTGGGATGCAAGTGGCAGCATGCAGGCATACCTTCTGTAAAGTAAATGAATAACATAATTTTAGATAATGATAAGGTTCTGTGCTTGAGAGTAATGGAGGAGGAATTTTGAATAGAGTGGTCCAGGAAGAAAGCATAGAGCCACACCAGGCTGTGCACTGCCGAATTCCAGTGCCGTTTCCATAGTCCCTAATACGGATAATGTCCCCTCAACTGTGCTACACAGCAGCCCTAAGGGTTCGGGGAAGGGCCTCTTTGAAGAGATGACATTTGAGTGGAGTCCTGGTTAATTAAAAAGTTATCATCCATATAACCCTCTGAGGTAGAAGTGTTCAGGCAAAAGGAACCAAAAATCCCAAGGCAGGTAGGAGTTTGGTGAGTTTGTGAACAGGAAGAAGACCTTGGTGGCTGGTGTAGCAAAACGTGAAGATTGTGTTAGATGAGATTGGATGGCAAGCAGAAGCCAAACCATGTGAGGCCTTGCAAGTTATGGTAAGCAGTTTTGCTTTTACTCTAAGTGTTCTGAAAAACTTCCAGGGGTCCTACTTAGAAAAGTGATCTGAAGTGATCTGTGAATTGAAAAGATCACTTTGGCTATTCTCTGTAGAAAAAGGCAGGCTGGTAGGGATTTCTGCTTTTGTCTATGGAGGATTATCTTGTATTAGACTTACCTTAAAAATAAGAACAACTCCACTTTAACAGCGATGAACTACTCTTAGCTGTTATTTATACCAAACCATCCCTATGGGATACCACACACTACCATGATCAATAGTCACCTTGGGATAAATCCCTCCAGGAGAATATATCAAAATGCACCTAAGGAGGAGACATCATCACTATGGTTGATGCACCCAGCACTATCCTCCTCCATAACAAAGACCAAAGTAGCAAGGAGATAACTGCACATCAAGTAGATGTTCTAGAGGGGAATGCTAGAATCCAGCAGGAAGTGAGAGGTACCCTATGAGGAACAGAAGCTTGAGATGGCAGCATAGAGAGGGAAGCAAGGCAGCTGGCCAGATTGGCTCAGAGCCCGGAGGGACTCCCCATTGAGGGGAAAAGGTAAGAGGTCCTCAGCAGTCTACATTTCCACTGCAGACTCTGACAGTTCTAACTGCAGGAAAGCCCCTCAGCCCTCATAGTCCTTGAGCCTAGTATAAGGGGCTGCCTGGAGTCCACATGATGGTATTATTCCAGAGAAGGAACTTTATATTGGGTTCTACCCCTGGTACCATTTTGAGTATGGAGCTGACACCAAGCTACAACCTGCCTAGGGGTCCAGTAGCCCCTGCATTTCCACATCCCTGGAGCCCCACCAACATCCCCCCACATCTACCCAAAGGGTTACAGCATTGTGGTACCAGTTGGACCCAGAGGTATGATCACATCGCCAGCACCTGAGCCAGCAAAGTGCCTGTACCCCAGGGAATATATAGTCCAGTACATCAGGGAGGCTGCCCTGGGACATAGGGAACTAAAGCAGGCACTCCCCAAAGCCTGAGATCCACCTATCTAAGGCTGTGGCTACCAACAGTGACCCCACTTGACTTCAAAGCCACGGCCCTTGCGGAATGACACAGCCCACTAGGAGTCTGGGGACTGGCCTGACATGGACATTTCCAGTGTCTGCACACCCTGCCTAGGGACTTGGGGACTAGGCCAGCTGACCCATCATCAACGCCACTGACACACAAAGGGCCCACCTAGGTGCCTGATGACTGACCCATTTTTGCTACTGCCAGTGCCCAAATGCCCCACTCAGGGCCCAACACTACCACCACCAGTTACTGCATGACTCACCTGAGGCGCAAGGAATGGCCTGCCAAGGGCATATTTCTACCACATCTGGTGACTGCACAAACCACCTAGCTAGGTGCCTGAAGACCAGTCTGCCCAGCACCCGCATCCTCAGAAAAGCCTCCACAACCTACCACAGCCTAAGCCACTAAGGACACCACTGATACTTATTATAGCCAAAGTAATCATATGGAGACCACATTTTGTTGCCCACTCAAAATCAAAGCCCAAGAACCTTACCCAATTGACCTTATAGATACATCTACAGGAAAAAGTCTTTCCCTGTGAATGCTACTCAATAAAAGTAAAAGAAGTGACAGTTACACCAGATATTAATATAAGGACACAGAAACATGAAAGAGCAAGGAAACATGACACCTCCAAAGGAACATAATAATTCTCCAGTAACTGACCCCAAAGAAAAGGAAATTTATTAAATAACTGAATAGGAATTCAAAGTATTGCTTTTAAGGAAACTCAGTGCAATACAAAACAACACAGATAAACATTACAAAGAAATAAGGAAAATAATTCACGACCAGAATTTAAAAATCAACAAACAGGTATCATAAAAAAGAACTGAACAAAATTCTGGAACTGAAGAATTCAAGTAGTAAAATCGAAAATACAATCAAGAGCATTAACAATAGACTAGATTAAGCAGAAGAAAGAAGTTCTGAACTTGAAAACAGGTCTTTTAAAATAACCTACTCAGACAAAAAAAAAAAAAGGAAAAAGAATGACTATAGGTCCCTATAAGAGTGACTATAGTTATCTATAAATTTGTGTGTATTTTAAATAGCTAGAAGATTGGGAATGTTCTCAACACAAAGTAATGATAAATATTTTAGGTGATGAATATCCCAGTTACCCTGATTTGATCATTACACATTATATGCATATATCAAAATATCACATGTACCCCATAAATACAAATAAATATTATGTATCAATAAAAATGTACATAGGAACATAGATAACTTCATGTATCTCTGCTCACCAACTCCCCCTTGCCCCAAACTAACCATACCAAATTCACTATTATCTAATAAGAATCACTTATATACATATTTCTGGCTTGCCAGAACCTGAGGGAAACCACAGACTTTGAGGAATCCAAGGTCTGGCCTAGTGGTAAAGTTGCTAGTGACTTTTCTGGTGTCAGATGGAGACTAAGAGGTACCATTTAACCATTTAACTCTCCTCCACATGTTTCACACACATACATATGATCTGACTGTATGAAATCTGAGAACCTGAACTCTGGACCTGTACTCTTTGGAACCGAGAAGCACCACAGGAATCTATGGGATGAGTGTATGTAAGAGTGTTTGCGTGTGTGTGTGTGTGTGTGTGTGTGTGTGAGAGAGAGAGAGAGAGAGACTAAAAATGACTTATACTTCCATCAGTCTGAGACAGTTACTACTAATATCTTGGTATCCATCAGCCAGAATGAGTTCTATGCATGTGCTCACATATACATAAATATACATGATTTCAAAAGACTAATACTTGTAATCTGATTTTTATCTTTTGTTTTGTGTGTTTTCATGCCATTAAATACTGTTCAAGGAAAATAGTCACAACTAATAAATGTGGATAAAATATTTTAAAATATATCTTTGAGGGCAAAAGAAAACTAACAAAGTAACCAACACTGAGTGAACAAGATTCAAAAGAGCAACACAGCAAGGAAAGATGAACCAAACATTCTGTGTTGATTCTCTCCTCTAGGCATTTTGTCAGTCCACAAATGGCAATCTAGAGACTAACAGACCTTTCAGAGCTTTCAATAATCTCACTGTACTGGGGAAATAAACATTGATGTTCAGGGCTTGTTAAGGTGAAGACCTGTTGGTGAACATCTTTGGCTTTCAGTAAGAACACATAAAGGACTATCTACCCCAGGAATAGGAATGCACTGGAAATAATCTGCACTAACACTAAATTCCAGACTCAAATCAGCTTAATTCCCAATTGAATTAAAGTGATCTGCCAATAATGTCTAAAAGCATGCTTAAAGAAGTAAATTCTTTCTGGGTGTGTATACTATTACCAGAACCTCAAAGGTTCTCTGTTTTATTTTTTTCACATAAAGGCTGTCATTCAATAAAAGAAAAAAAAATCAAGCATTGAAAAGATAACATTGGACTGATAACCGAGAAAAAAATAGACAATAGAAAAAATTAAATTCAGCTAAAGCTGTGCTTAGAGGAAATTTTATAGCCTTAAATTCCATATACTAGACAAAAAGGCTAAGCATCCATGATCTAATTATTTTTCTCATGAAGACAGAAAGAAAACTGTAAAATAAACTAAAAAATACTAGCAAGAAAAAATGGTAAAATAGGAACTTAATGAAATAGAAAATAAATGAACACTAATGAAGTCCTTTAAAAAGACTAGTAAAATTCATACACCCCTAGGAAAAAAAGAGAAAACACAATTTAACCAACATAAACAGTGCAAAAAACGAGTCATTCTCATAGATTCTACAGCTTTTTAAAAGAAAATACAAGAATTTTTTAGAATATGAAAATAAGAAGTCAGATCAAGGAGACAAGGCTTTTGAAAAACCTTAGGAGGAAATTGAAAAATTTGGGTAGTTCTATAGTTATTAAAGATGTTGAAGTCTCTGAAAAACCACAGTATAAGGAAAATTCTGGACCTAATGGCTTTGAAAGTTAATTTCCCCAAACACTAAAGGAATAAATATTACCAACATAACCAAAAAAAAAAGGAAAATTATTACAGAGTGATTTTCTAAAATCAAAAGTCATAGATGTGGGAGAGGCTGAGACGACCAATTAGCTCCCATCTACAGCTCCCACCAAGAAGAATGAAAATGGCAAGTGAATCCTGCACCTTCAGCTGAGGTATCCAGGTTCTCTCACTGGGACTAAGTAAGTGGTTGGTGCAACCCTCGGAAAGCAAGGGAAAACAGGATGTAGTGACAGCCCAGCCAGGAGCTATACAGGGTAAGGGAAACTCCCACCTGCAACCAAGGTAGACAGTGAGTGATTGTGCTACCCAACCAGGGAAACCATACTTTTCCCACAGATCTGTGCAACCAGTGGATCAGGCGGTCCCCTGGTGAACTCACACCACCAGGGCCTTGGGTCCCAAGCACAGAACTGTGCAGACTCTTGGCAGCCGCTCGGGTTTTGGGCAGTGGCAGCAGGCTAGAGACTGCCTAAGACCACTGATTCCAGAGGGGTGAGGGGTAGCAGCCATCACTGCAGCTCCAGGCAGCCATCTTACCCTGCTAGTACCAGGGAGGCTGAGTGGTTTGAACTGGAAGGAATTCCTCACAGCACAGCACAGCGGCTGTGGCGGATTGTGGCCAGTCTGCTTCTTTAGGTGGAACCCAGATTCATCCCTCCTCACTGGGCAAGACCTCCCTGTGGGAGTTGCAGCAACTCCAGCCAGGGGTTTATGGACAGAACTCTGATCTCCCTGGGATAGAGCCCCTGGAGGGAGGGGCGGTTGCAGTCTCTGGTTCAGTGGACTTAGTCTTTCCTGCCTGCTGGCTCTGAGGAGTCAGGGCAGCAAATGGAACTCCCTCCAGCACAGTGCATACACTCTGCCAAGGGGCAGCCAGACTGCTTCTTTAAGCAGGTCCCTGATCCTGTGCCTCCTGACTGGGTGAGACCTCCCAACAGGGGTTGTCAGACATCTCATATAGAAGAGTTCTGGCGGGCATCAGGTTGGTAGCCCTCTGGAACCGAGATCCCAGAGGAAAGTGCAGGCAACCATCTTTGCTGTTTTGCACCCTCCACTGGTGATACCACCAGGTGCAGGAGAGACCCAAGCAAACAGGGTCTGAAATAGACCCTCAGCAAACTGTAGCATCCATGCAAAAGAGGGGCCTGAATGTAAAAAAAGAAAAAAAAATAGAAAAAAAGAAAAAACAATAACATCAACAAAAAACGACCCCATAAAAACCCCAGCCAAAGGTCAACAGCCTCAAAGATTAAAGGGAGATAAACCCACGCAAATGAGAAAAAATCAGCACAGAAACGCTGAAAATTTAAAAAGCCAGTGCCTCTTCTCCTCCAAATGACTGTAACACCTGTCCAGCAAGGGCACAGAACTAGGCTGAGGTTGAAATGGATGAACTGACAGAAGTGGGCTTCAGAAGGTGGGCAATAATGAACTTCACTGAGCTGAAGAAGTATGTTCTAACCCAATGCAGAGAAGCTAAGAATCATGACAAAACATTAGAGGAGCTGTTAAAAAGAATAACCAGTTTAGGGAGGAACATAAATGGCCTGATGGAGCTGAAACACACAACAGGAGAACTTCACGGTGCAACTACAAATATCAGTAGCTGAATAGACCAAGAGAATCTCAGAGCTTCAGGATTATCTTGCTGAAATAAGACAGGCAGAAAAGACTAGGGGAAAAAGAATGAAAAGGAATGAACAAGACCTCCAAGAACTACGGAATTATGTAAAAAAGACTGAACCTACAACTGACTGGGGTACCTGAAAGAGATGAGGAGAACAGAAACAAGTTAAAAAACAAACTTCAGTATGGCATCCAGGAGAACTTCCCCAACTTAGCAAGACAGCCCAACATTCAAATTAAGGAAATCCAGATAACCCCAGTAAGATACTCCATGAGAAGATCAACCCCAAGGCACATAATCATCAGATTTTCCAAAGTTGAAATGAAGGAAAACATGTTAATGGCAGCCAGAGAGAAAGGTCAGGTCACCTACACAGCAAAGTCTATCTGATTAACAGTGGACCTCTCAATGGAAACCCTATAAGCCAGAAGAGATTGGGGGACCAATATTCAACATTCTTAAAGAAAAGAATTTCCAACTCAGAATTTCATATCTGGCCAAACTAAACTTCATAATCAAAGGAGAAATAAAATCCTTTCCAGACAAGCAAATTCTGAGAGATTCTGTCACCGCCGGGACTGCCTGGAAAGAGTTCCTGAGGGAAGCACTGAATATGCAAAGGAAAAACATTACAAGCTACTACAAAAAAAAAAAACTGAAGTACACAGACCAATGACACTATAAAACAACTACTTTAACAAGTCTGTGAAATAACCAGCCAGCATAATAATGACAGGATCAAATTCACACATAGCAATATTAACCTTCAATATAAATGGGCTAAATTCCCCAAATAAAAGACACAGACCGGCAAGCTGGATAGAGTCAAGACCCACAGGTGTGCTGTATTTAAGAGACCCATCTCACATGCGAAGACAAACATAGGCTCAAAATAAAGGGATGGAGGAAAAATTACCAAGCAAATGCAAAACAGAAAAAAAGCCAGGGGTTGCAATCCTAGTTTCTGACAAAACAGACTTTAAACCAACAAAGATCAAAAAAGACAAAGAAGGGCATTACATAATGGAAAAGGGCTCAATTCAACAAGAAGAGCTAACTATGTTAAATACATATGCATCTAATACAGGAGCACCCAGATTCATAAAACAAGTTCTTAGATACCTACAAAGAGACTTAGACTCCTACACAATAATAGTGGGACACTTTAACACCCCACTGTCAATATTAGAGAGATCATTGAGAGAAAATAAAGATATTCAGAATTTGAACTCAGGTCTGAATCAAGTGGACCTGATAGATACCTACAGAACACTTCAATTAAAAACAACAGCATATACATTCTTCGTGGTGCCACATGACACTTACTCTAAAATTGATCACATAATTGGAAGTAAAACACCCCTCAGCAAATGCAAAAGAACTGAAACCATAACAAACAGTCTCTCAGACCACAGTGCAATTAAATTAGAACTCAAGATTAAGAAGCTCACTAAAAACCACAAAACTACATGGAAATTGAACAACCTGATCCTTAATGACTCCTGGGTAAATAATGAAATTAAGGCAGAAATCAAGAAGTTCTTTGAAACTAATGAGAACAAAGAGGAAATGTCCCAGAATCCCTGGGATGCAGCTAAAGAAGTGTTAAGAAGGAAATTTGATGATGGCCGAATAGCAACAGCTCTGGTCTGCAGCTCCCAGCATAATCGATGCAGAAGACTGGTGATTTCTGCATTTCCAACTGAGGTACCCGGTTCATCCCACTGGGACTGGTCAGACAGTGGGTGCAGCCCGTGGAGGGCGAGCCAAAGCAGGGCAGGGCATCGCCTCACCTGGGAAGCACAAGGGGTTGAGGTATTTCCCTTTTCTAGCCAAGGGAAGCCATGACAGACTGTACTGGGACAATCAGGACACTGCGCCCTAAATACTGCACTTTTCCAACTGTCTTAGCAAACGGCACACCAGGAGATTATATCCCGCATAAGGCGGCAAGCCTGGCAGGGGGAGGGGCATCCGCCATTGCTGAGGCTTTAGTAGGTAAACAAAGTGGCCAGGAAGCTCAAACTGGGTGAAGCCCACTGCAGCTCAATGAGGCCCGCCTACCTCTGCAGACTCCACCTCTGGGGGCAGGGCATAGCTGAACAAACAGCAGCAGAAACTTCTGCAGACTTAAATGTCCCTGTCTGACAGCTCTGAAGAGAGCAGTGGTTCTCCCAGCATGGTGTTTGAGATCTGAGAACAGATAGACTGCCTCCTCAAGTGGGTTCCTGACCCCTCTATAGCCTAACTTGGAGACATCTCCCAGTAGGGGCCAATAGACACCTCATACAGCTGGGTGCCCCTCTGAGACAAAGCTTCCAGAGGAAGGATCAGGCAGCAATATTTGCTGTTCTACAATATTTGCTGTTCTGCAGCCTTCACTGGTGATAGCCAGGCAAACAGCACCTGGAGTGGACCTCCAGCAAACTCCAACAGACCTGCAGCTGAGGGAACTGACTGCTAGAGGGAAAACTAACAAACAGAAGGGAATAGCATCAACATCAACAAAAAAGATATCCACACCAAAACTCCATCTGTGGGTCACCATCATCAAAGACTAAAGGTAGATAAAACAACAAAGATGGGGAGAAACCAGAGCAGAAAAGCTGAAAATTCTAAAAATCAGAGTGCCCCTTCTCCTCCAAAGGATCGCAGCTCCTCACCAGCAACGGAACAAAGCTGGATGGAGAATGACTTTGACAAGTTGACAGAAGTAGGCTTCAGAAAGTCACTAATAACAAACTTCTCTGAGCTGAAGGAGGATGTTCGAACCCATCACAAGGAAGGTAAAAACCTTGAAAAACTATGAATGGCTAACTAGAATAAACAGTGTAGAGAAGACCTTAAATGACCTGATGGAGCTGAAAACCATGGCACGAGAACTACGTGACGCATGCACAAGCTTCAATAGACAATTTGATCCAGTGGAACAAAGGACATCAGTAACTGAAGATCAAATTAATGAAATAAAGTAAGAAGAGAAGTTTAGAGAAAAAGGAGTAAAAAGAAATGAACAAACCTCCAAGAAATATAAGACTATGTGAAAAGACCAAATCTAGGTTTGATTGGTGTTCCTGAAAGTGACAGGGAGAATGCAACCAAGTTGGAAAACACTATTCAGGATATTATCCAAGAAAACTTCCCCAACCTAGCAAGGCAGGCCAACATTCAAATTCAGGAAATACAGAGAATACCACAAAGATACTCCTCGAGAAGAGCAACCCCAAGACACATAATTGTCAGATTCACCAAGGCTGAAATGAAGGAAAAAATGTTAAGGGCATCCAGAGAGAAAGGTCAGGTTACCCACAAAGAGAAGCCCATCAGACTAAAAGAGGGTCTCTCGGCAGAAACTCTACAAGCCAGAAGAGAGTGGGGGCCAATATTCAACATTCTTAAAGGGAAGAATTTTCAACCCAGAATTTCATATCCAGCCAAACTAAGCTTCATAAGTGAGGGAGAAATAAAATCCTTTACAGAGAAGCAAATGCTGAGAGATTCTGTCACCACCAGGTCTACTTTACAAGAGCTCCTAAAGGAAGCGCTAAACATGGAAAGGAACAACCAGTACTAGCCACTGCAGAAACATGCCAAATAGTAAAGATCATCGATGCTAGGAAGAAACTGCATCAACTAAAGGGCAAAATAACCAGCTAACATCATAATGACAGGATCAAATTCACACACAACAATATTAACCTTAAAAGTAAATGGGCTAAATGTCCCAATTAAAAGACACAGACTGGCAAATTGGATAAAGAGTCAAGACTCATCAGGGTGCTGTATTCAGGAGACCCATCTCATATGCAGAGACATATATAGGCTCAAAATAAAAGGATGGAGGAAGATCTACCAAGCAAATGGAAAGCAAAAACATGCAGGGGTTGCAATCCTAGTCTCTGATAAAACAGACTTTAAACCAACAAAGATCAAAAGAGACAAAGAAGGCCATTACATAACGGTAAAGGGATCATTTCAACAAGAAAAGCTAACTATCCTAAATATATACGTACCCAATACAGGAGCACCCGGCTTCATAAAGCAAGTCCTTAGAGACCTACAAAGAGACTTAGACTCCCACACAATAATAAAGGGAGACTTTAACACTCCACTCTCAATATTAGACAGATCAAGGAGACAGAAGGTAAACAAGGATATCCAGGACTTGAACTCAGCTCTGCACCAAGCAGACCTAATAGACATCTACAGAACTCTCCACCCCAAAAAACAGAATATACATTATTCTCAGCACCACATCGCACTTATTCCAAAATTGACCACATAGTTGGAAGTAAAGCACTCCTCAGCAAATGTAAAAGAATAGAAATCACAACAAACTGTCTCTCAGACCACAGTGCAATCAAATTAGAACTCAGGATTAAGAAACTCACTCAAAACTGCTCAACTACATGGAAACTGAACAACCTGCTCCTGAATGACTGCTGGGTACATAACGAAATGAAGGCAGAAATAAAGATGTTCTTTGAAACCAATGGGAACAAAGACACAACATACCAGAATCTCTGGGACACATTTAAAGCAGTATGTAGATGGAAATTTATAGCACTAAATGCCCACAAGAGAAAGCAGAAAAGATCTAAAATTGACACCCTAACATCACAATTAAAAGAACTAGAGAAGCAAGAGCAAACACATTCAAAAGCTAGCAAAAGGCAAGAAATAACTAAGATCAGAGCAGAACTGAAGGAAATAGAGACACAAAAAACCCTTCAAAAAAAAATCAATGAATCCAGGAGCTGGTTTTTTGAGAAGATCAACAAAATTGATAGACCACTAGCAAGACTAATAAAGAAGAAAAGAGAGAAGAATCAAACAGATGCAATAAAAAATGATAAAGGGGATATCACCACTGATCCCACAGAAATACAAACTACCATCAGAGAATACTATGAACACCTCTATGCAAATAAACTAGAAAATCTAAAAGAAACAGATAAATTCTTGGACGCATACACCCTCCAAAGACTAAACCAGGAAGAAGTTGAATCACTGAATAGGCCAATAACAGGCTCTGAAATCGTGGCAATAATTAATAGCCTACCAACCAAAAAAGTCCAGGGCCAGACGGATTCACAGCCGAATTCTACCAGAGGTACAAAGAGGAGCTGGTACCATTCCTTCTGAAACTATTCCAATCAATAGGAAAAGAGGGAATCCTCTCTAACTCATTTTATGAGGCCAGCATCATCCTGATACCAAAGCCTGGCAAAGACACACACAAAAAAGAGAATTTTAGACCAACATCCCTAAAGAACATCGATGCGAAAATCCTCAATAAAATACTGGCAAACCAAATCCAGCAGCACATCAAAAAGCTTATCCACCAAGATCAAGTTGGCTTCATCCCTGGGATGTAAGGCTGGTTCAACATATGCATATCAATAAATGTAATCCATCACATAAACAGAACCAACGACAAAAACCACATAATTATCTGAATAGATGCAGAAAAGGCCTTTGACAAAGTTCAACAGCCCTTCATGCTAAAAACTCTCAATAAACTAGGTATTGATGGAACGTATCTCAAAATAATAAGAGCTATTTATGACAAACCCACAGTGAGTATCATACTGAATGGGCAAAAACTGGAAGCATTCCCTTTGAAAACTGGCACAAGACAGGGATGCCCTCTCTCACCACTCCTATTCAACATACTGTTGGAAGTTCTGGCCAGGGAAATTAGGCAAGAGAAAGAAATAAAGGGTATTCAATTAGGAAAAGAGGAAGTCAAATTGTCCCTGTTTGCAGATGACATGATTGTATATTTAGAAAACCCCATCGTCTCAGCCCAAAATCCCCTTAAGCTGATAAGCAACCTCAGCAGTTTCAGGATACAAAACCAATGTGCAAAAATCACAAGCATTCTTATACACCAATAACAGACAAATAGAGAGCCAAATCATGAGTGAACTCCCATTCACAATTGCTACAAATAGAATAAAATACCTAGGAATCCAACTTACAAGGGATATGAAGGACCTCTTCAAGGAGAACTACAAACCACTGCTCAACGAAATAAAAGAGGACAAAAACAAATGGAAGAAAATTCCATGCTCATGGGTAGGAAGAATCAATATTGTGAAAATGGCCATACTGCCCAAGGTAATTTACAGATTCAATGCCATCCCCATCAAGCTACCAATGACTTTCTTCACAGAATTCAGAAAAACTACTTTAAAGTTCACATGGAACCAAAAAAGAGCCCACATTGCCAAGACAATATTAATCAGAAAGAACAAAGCAGGAGTCATCACGCTACCTGACTTCAAACTATACTACAAGGCTACAGTAACCAAAACAGCATGGTACTGGTACCAAAACAGACATATAGACCAATGGAACAGAACAGAGTCCTCGGAAATAACACCACACATCTACAACCATCTGATCTTTGACAAACCTGACAAAAACAAGCAATGGGGAAATGATTCACTATTTAATAAATGGTGCTGGGAAAACTGGCTAGCCATATGTAGAAAGCTGAAACTGGATCCCTTCCTTTTACCTTATACAAATATTAATTCGAGATGGATTAAAGACTTAAATGTTATACCCAAAACCATTAAAACCCTAGAAGAAAACCTAGGCAATACCATTCAGGACATAGGCATGGGCAAGGACTTCATGACTAAAACACCAAAAGCAATGGCAACAAAAGCCAGAATAGACAAATGGGATCTAATTAAACTAAAGAGCTTCTGCACAGCAAAAGAAACTACCATCAGAGTGAACAGGCAACCTACAGAATGGGAGAACATTTTTGCAATCTACCCATCTGACAAAGGGCTATTTTCCAGAATCTACAAGGAACTTAAACAAATGTAGAAGAAAAAATCAAACAACCCCATCAAAAAGTGGGCAAAGGATATGAATAGACACTTTTCAAAAGAAGACATTTATGTAGCCAACAGACACATGAGAAAATGCTCATCATCATTTCATCAGAGAAATGCAAATCAAAACCACAATGAGATACCATCTCACACCAGTTAGAATGGTGATCATTAAAAAGTCAGGAAACAACAGGTGCTGAAGAGGATGTGGAGAAATAGGAATGCTTTTACACTGCTGGTGGGACTGTAAACTAGTTCAACCATTGTGGAAGACAGAGTGGCGATTCCTCAAGGATCTAGAACTAGAAATACCATTTGACCCAGCCATCCCATTACTGGGTATATACCCAAAGGATTATATATCATGCTGCTATCAAGACACACGCACACGTATGTTTCTTACAGCCCTATTCACAATAGCAGAGACCTGGTACCAACCCAAATGTCCATCAATGATAGACTGCATTAAGAAAATGTGGCACATATACACCATGGAATACTATGCAGTCATAAAAAAGGACGAGTTCATGTCCTTTGTAGGGATGTGGATGAAGCTGGAAACCATCATTCGGAGCAAACTATCGCAAGGACAGAAAACCAAACACCACATGTTCTCACTCATTGGTGGGAACTGAACAATGAGAACACTTGGACACAGGGCAGGGAACATCACACATCAGGGCCTGTTGTGGGTGGGGGGATGGGAGAGGGATAGCATTAGGAGAAATACCTAATGTAAATGACCAGTTAATGGGTGCAGCAAACCAACACGGCACATGTATAGGTATGTAACAAACCTGCACGTTGTGCACACGTACCCTAGAACTTAAAGTATAATCTAAAAAAGAGATTAAAAAAAAGAAAAAGAAGGAAATTTATAGCACTAAATGCCCGCATCAAAAAGGTCTCATATAAAACATCCGAACATCACACAAAAAGAACTAGAGAACCAAGAGCAAACAGACCCAAAAAGTAATAGAAGACAAGAAATAACAAGGTCGGAGCTGAATTGAAAGAGATACAGACACAAAAAAAAAGCCCTTCAAAAAAAATCAACGAATCCAGGAGCTGGTTTTTTGAAAACATTAATAAAATAGATAGACTGCTAGCTAGATTAATAAAGAAGAAAAGAGAGAAAGTCAAATAGATAATAAAGAATGATAAAGGGGATATCATCATGGACCCCATGGAAATACAAACAACCTTGAGAGAATACTATAAACACCTGTATGCAAATAAACTAGAAATCATATTAGTAGAAGAAATGGATTAATTCCTGGACACATACACCCTCCCAAGACTGAACCAGTAAGAAGTTGAATCCTTGAATAGAACAATAATGAATTCTGAAATTGAGGCAGTAATAAATAGACTACCAATCAAAAATAGCCCAGGACCAGATGGATTTACAGCTGAATTCTACCAGAGGTACAAAGAGAAGCTGGTAACATTTCTTATGAAACTGTTCCAAACAGTTGAAAAGGAGGGAATCTTCCCTAACTCATTTTATGAGGCCAGCATCATGCTAATACCAAAACCTGGCAGACATACAACAAAAGGAGAAAACATCAAGCCAATATCCCTGATGAACATTGATGCAAAAATCCTCAATAAAACACTGGCAAACCAAATCCAGCAGCTCATCAAAAGCTAATCCATCACAATCAAGTCGGCTTCATCCCCAGGATGCAAGGCCAGTTCAACATATGCAAATCAATAAACATAATTCATCACATAAACAGAACTAAAGATAAAAACCACATGACTATCTCAATAGACACAAAAAAGGTGTTCAATAAAATTCAACACCTCTTTATGTTAAAAACTCTCAATAAACTAGGTATTGATGAAACATACCTCAAATTTAATAAGAGCCATTTATCGTAGTGAATGGGAAAAAGCTGGAAGCATTCACCTTGAAAACCGGCACAAGACAAGGATGACCTCCTTCACCATTTCTATTCAACATAGTATTGGAAGATCTGGCCACAGCAATCAGGCAAGAGAAAGAGATAAAGTGTATTCAAATAGGAAGAGAGGAAGTCAAATTATCTTTGTTTGCAGATGATGTGATCCTTTATCTAGAAAACCCCATCCTCTCAGCCCAAAAGCTTCTTAAACTGATAAGCAATTTCAGCAAAGTCTCAGAATACAAAATCAAGGTGCAAAAATTACAAGTATTCCTGTACACCAACAACAGACAAGCAGAGAGCCAAATCATGAATGAACTCCCATTCACAATTGCTACAAAGAGAATAAAATACCTATGAATACAACTAACGAGGGATGTGAAGGACCTCTTAAAGGAGAACTACAAGCCACTGCTCAAGAAAATAAGAGAGGGTGCAAACAAATGGTAAAACATTCCATGCTCATAGATAGGAAGAATCAATATCATGAAAATGGCCATACTGCCCAAGGTAATTTATAGATTCAATGCTATCCCTTTGAACTACCATTGACATTCTTCACAGAAACAGAAAAAACTATTTCAAATTTTACATGGTGCCAAAATGAGCCGTATAGCCAAGACAATCCTAAGCAAAAAGAACAAAGCTGGAGGCCTCACCCTACATGACTTCAAACTATACTACAAGGTTACAGTAACAAAAACAGCATGGTACTTGTATAAGAACTGACACATAAATCAATGGAACAGAATAGAGAACTCAGAAATCAGACTGCACATCTACAACCATGTGATCTTCAACAAACCTGACAAAAGCAAGCAGTGGGGAAAGGATTCCCCATCTAATAAATGCTGCTGGGAGAACTGGTTAGCCATAAGCAGAAAATTGAAACTGGATCCCATTCTTACACCTCATACAAAAACTAACTCAAGATGGATTGAAGAGTTAAATGTAAAACCCAAAGCTATAAAAACCCTAGAAGAAAATCTAGGCAACACTATTCAGGACATAGGCACAGGCAAAGATTTTATGATGAAAATGTCAAAAGCAATTGCAACAAAAGCAAAAATTGACAGATGTGATCTAATTAGACTAAAGAGCTTCTGCACAGCAAAAGAAACTATCATGAGAGTGGACAACCTACAGAATGGGAAAACACTTTTGCAACCTATTCATCGGACAAAGGTCTAGTATCTAGAGTCTACAAGGAATTTAAACAAATTTACAAGGAAAAAAAAACAACCTCATTAAAAAGCGGGCAAAGGACATGAACAGACAGTTCTCAAAAAAAGACATTTATGTGGCTAACAAACATGAAAAAAAGCTCAACATCGCTGATCATTAGAGAAATGCAAATCAAAACCACAGTGAGATACCATCTCATGCCAGTCAGAATGGAGATTATTAAAAAGCCAAGAAACAACAGGCCAGGGACAGTGGCTCACACCTGTAATTCCAGCACTTTCGGAGACCAAAGTGGGTGGATCACCTGAAGTCAAGAGTTCGAGACCAGCCTGGCCAACATAGTGAAACTCCACCTCTACTAAAAATACAAAAATTAGCCGGGCGTGGTCATACACTTGTAGTCCCAGCTACTCATGAGGCTGAGGCAGGAGAATCACGTGAACCCAGGAAGTGGAGGTTCAAGTAAGCCAAAAGCCAAGATTGTGCCACTGCACTCCAGCCCAGGCAACCGGGTAAGACTGTCTGAAAAGAAAAGAAAAGAAAAGAAAAGAAAAGAAATGAAATGAAACAACAGATGCTGGAGATGCTGCAGAGAGATAGGAATGCTTTTACACTGTTCGTGGGAATGTAAATTAGTTCAACCATTGTGGAAGACAGTGTGGCAATTACTCAAAGACCTAGAACTAGAAATACCATATGACCCAGCAATCCCATTACTGGGTATATACCCAAAGGAGTATAAATCCTTCTGTTATAAAGATACACGCATATGTATGTTCATTGCAGTGCTATTCACAATAGCAAAGACATGAAATCAACCTAAATGCCCATCAATGATAGACTGAATAAAGAACAATGTGGTACATATACACCATGGAATACTATGCAGCCATAAAAAGGAATGAGATCATGTCCTTTGCAGGGACATGGATAGAGCTACAAGCCATTATCCTCAGCAAACTAACACAGGAACAGAAAACCAAACACCACATGTTCCCACTCATAAGTGGAGGCCGAACAATGAGAACATATGTACACAGGGAGGGGAACAACACACTACTGAGGCCTGTGGTGGGGTACTGGTGGGGAGGGAGAGCATCAGAAAAAATAACTCAGGCATGCTTAATACTCAGGTGATGGGCGAATAGGTGCAGCAAACCACCACGGCACATATTTACCTATGTAACAAACTTGCACATTTTGCACATGTACACCAGAACTTAATAAATAAAATAATTTTAAAAAGTCACAGATGTAAACTTGTAAATAAATATTAGCAAATAATATTCATATTCCCAAATTAAGTTTATTTCATCAATGCAAGGATGACTTAACATTCAGCAAGCAATCTCTGTGTTTGATCACATTAAAATAATAAAGGAGAAAAATCATACTTAGGGCTCCCAACTTATGATGGTTCACATTTAGGGTGATGCAAAAACAATATGCATTCAGTAGATGCCATACTTTAAGTACCCATGGAACCATTCTGTTTTTCACTTTCAGTACAGTATTTAATAAATTACATGATATATTCAGGACTTTATTATAAAATAGACTTCTTGTCAGATAAGTCTTCCCAATTGTAGGCTAATATTCTAAGCACACTTAAGGTAGGTAGGATAATCTATGATATTCAGTAGGTTAAGTGCATTTTTGACTTACAATGTTTTTAACTTATGATGCGTTTATTAGGACATAATCCCATAGTATGTCAAGGAGTGTCTGTAACAATCTTAAATGATGCAAAAAAGTATTTGATAAAATTTAATACCTGTTCATGATTTAAAGCTCTTAGGAAATTCAGAACATAGGGGAACATCCTAAATTCACATAAACCAATAGCAAATTTATTTTTATTTTTTTTTAGATGGAGTCTCCCTCTGTCACCCAGGCTGGAGGGCAGTGGCACAATCTGAACAAAGTCATTCTTAATATGCACTGAAATCTTCCCATTGCAATCAGGAGTGACACAGAATACTTGTTATTAACACTTCTATTCATCATTGTATTGGAGGTTCTAACCAATGCAATAGCCAAAAAAAAAATACACAACAATTAAAATAAATGAAAGTTATAAAAATTGGAAAGAAAGAAATGAACTGTGATTGTTTTCAGATAACATTATTTTTGTCAACAAAAATCCAAATCCAAAAGACAATCCCATTATACTTAGCAACGGAAGTTAGAAAGGTTGCTGGATGTGATGCCAATGTAAGACAATTAATTATAATTCGTATAATATCAATGCACAATTTAAAAATTAAATGAGGCCATTAAAGACAGCATTAAAATAACAATTACCCATGAATAAAATAACGAAAGATGCTCAAGACTGCAACACCACAACCTAAGAAACATTACTTAGAAAAACAAATATTTTATGAATTCATAGTTATAACATTGTCATAAAGTAGAAGATTCAATATTCTTAAGATGGTAATTCTCCCCAAACCAATGTATACATTAGCCGCAAGCTCAAAATTTTAAAAATACCAACAGATTATTTTGAAGAAACTAACAAGCTGATTCTAAAATTTACATGAAAATGCCAATGGCCAATGCTAGTCATGATTTTAAAGTAACATACCAAAGTTGAAGGATTCAAACTCCCATATGTCAAGGCTTAATAAAAAGCTACTGTAATCACACGATATAGTGTTATTGCTAAGACAGAGAAATAGCCCAATGAAATAGATTAGAGTCCAAAATCAGACATAAATATATACGTATGTATATATACACATATATTTATAATATGTATATATACACATATATTTATAATATGCATATATACACATATATAGAGTCCAAAATCAGACATACATATATATATCTCTATATATCAGACATATATATATAGAGAGAGAGAGACTTGATTTATGATATAAATGGTACTGCAAAACAATGGGAAAGAATGTTCTTTTCCACATGGACACATTGGTGGAAACACACACTGGGGCCTGTCGGAGGGGTGGGGGGTGGAAGGAGGGAGAACATCAGGAAGAATAGCTAATGGATGCTGGGCTTAATACCTGGGGGACGGGATGATCAGTACAGCAAACCACTATGGCACAAGTTTACCTATGTAACAAACCTGCACATCCTGCACATGTACCCCTGAACTTAGAATAGAGGTTGAAAATATTTTTTAAAAAGAATGCTCTTTTCAATAGGTGGTGCTGAGTTAATTGGATATCCATATACAAATAGTACAGATATTGACTATTCTTTATACTAAGCATGTAAGTCAATTCCAAATGGACTGTAAATCTAAATTTTAAAGGTAAAACTATAAAACTTTTAGAGAAAAACACATGAACACCTTCATGGCATTGAGGATAGGCAAATGTTTCTTAGGACAGAAAAAGAATTAACTTTTAATAAAATTTTGATATATTCTAATACATTAAATGTAATAACTTGTTTATCAAATGACAATATTAAGAAAGTAAAGAGACAAGTTTATCAAGTATAAAGAAAGTGAAAAGATATCTTAAGTACACATATATTAACAGTGGTCTTAATTTTGTAAAAAAGATCATCCCTTATACAGCATGATTAGAGATCAACCTAGGAAAGCACAGATTCTTTGCATTAACTGAAGGCAAGAAAGAACATTAAGTCATTGGCATTGCAGGACAACAGTCCTAAAGGCCATTAAGTCATTGGCATTGCAGGACAACAGTCCTAAAGGCCATAGGAAGTTATAGGCATAACCACCCCTAGAGAACTACTTGACTTGTGCTACAGAGTCTGCAGAGGGGGTGATTACCCTCAGTTCCAGCAGTGGGGACATACAGGGTTAAGGATATCTATTGCCCCCCTGATATATTCAAGTACTATAGACCAGAAGTGGTACCTTGGTACACAGATAGCAAGATCCCATGCACAAGCCTACAAATACAACTCAAACCCTTAAATTGTCTTGTGTCCAACATGAGTGGGAATCACTTCAAATCAATGTTTCAGCATGATTCTGGTGGCCCAATCTCTGGGCCAATGGGAGAGACCCATTCACTAGACTAGAATCAGAGGTAGTCTACTGGAATCAGGGCCTGGCCGGGGACCCATGGAATAACCTCATGGGTGCAAGTTCCAGAGCTTCCAGGAGCAACTGATAAAGCCCATGTGTTTTGGGAGGTAAAATAAGAGAAGAGCACAAGAGAGAGAAACAGGAACTGGGACGTATATGCCTCCCATTCTGGGCTTGGAATAGCCTATTAAAATGGTACTGCCAACCCAAACATATTTCAGATGTTGCAGAGAGACTTATAAAATTCTCCAGGCAATTACTTCTAGTGGGGTCCACAAAGACAAAAGCCTAGGGCAAGTGTCCGTACAAGTCTATGGGTAGTATTGGAGATAAAACTAACATGACTTACTTGTATATTGGATGTGAAAGGTGAAAAAAAACTAGATTTTTGGCTTGAGTGATTAGGTGAATGAGGTCATTCACTGAGATGGGAAGCCTGGGAAAGGAATAGGTTTTAGGGAACAAGTAAATTTTTACGTTAGCTAATGAGATTTGATGTACAAATACAGATATTTAGTAGGCTATTAGGCCTACGAGTCTAAAATGTAGAGGAGCTGTTCAGTGTGAGGATTTACCTTGGAAATCATTATAATATAGGGATATTTGAAGTGAGGGAGTTTACTAAGACTTACTCTGGAGAGGATTTAAGAGGGGAAGAAAGCTCATGACCCAGCCCTGAAGCACTACAATATTTAGCAATCAAGCCAAAGACAAAGGGCCAGCAAATGAGTTTGAGAAAGATTAGTCCCTGAAGCTGTAGGAAAAACAGACAAATTTTACGACTTCATAGTTAACTACCAGCATAACTTACTGCTTGGGTAATCTAGCTCCTTGCTAAAAGTGTTCCCAGACATTAAATGTGAAATGAACAAGGCACGACTATTTACTTTAGTGGTATTATTTTGGGCCAGAGCTGCTGACACTGAGATAGTACCTATTAAGCTGATACTACCTTAGAAGGTTGATTTCTTTAAGAAAAAAATTAGAATTAGTGTTCTGTTTATTAATATTTATATTAATGTCAATTATTAATTAATAAGTATTTAATATCTGTCACATATTATATTTAATATTAAATATTTAATATTAGTATAAGGCATTAAGAAAAATTTATAATTAATATTCTTTTTATTAATACTTGATATTAGGATAAGTCATGTAACCTCTGCATGTATTCAAAATATTCTACTTTAAGCTATTTATATTCTGAGAAGTATTTCTGCAACTTGTAGTTATAAAATATTTTGTCATGGCAATTAAAAAAAATAATCTCTGTATGTATTCTGAAACCTTTGAAAATCTTTATTGGTATGAGAATTTAGATTGTATGAGTCAGTTTTGGAGTCAAATTTGATTATGCCCATGATTTCAATGTGTTTTCAAATTTATAGTATCATTTGAATTATAATGACTCTATAGTGGTACATTATATGATTCATTTCAGAGGTGGCACTTAATCAGCAATGCTGTCATTTCTAACTACAACACAAATATGTGTCTATTATTCACCTTACCAGCCAGTACTCAGGGCCCAGCTACCTAATGAATAATGCCTATTATTGAGTAAAATATGAATGTGCTGGGCAGGCTCTAAAATGGCCTCCAATGATCCCTACTTCCTGGTATTCATACCCTTGTGTAATCCCCTTTCCTGGAGTTTGGGCAAGACTTAGAAACTGTCTTCTAATAAATAGAATATGACAGAAATGACAGTATATCAATTCCAAGATTTGATTATAAAAAGCCTGTGACTGCCATCTTGGGAGCTCTTTCACACACATGCCCGTGCTCCCTCTTGGACAGCTCAGTCCAGGAGGAGTTAGTTGACTTTTATACGGACACTTGGGCTGCCTAATGGGAGGTTCATGTGGTAAAGAATTGGCCAATAGCCAGTGAGGAACTGAGGTCTGCCAACAAACACGTAAGTGATCTTATAAGTGAATCCTTCAGCTCCAGTCAAGTCTTGAGATGACCATAAACCTGACCAACAGCTTGACTGTAGCTTCGTAAGACAATTTAGGCTAGAGATGCTCACTTAAGTTATACCCAGATTTCAGAACAACAGAAACTAAGAGATAATAAATGTTCATTGTTTTAAGCCACTTAAGTTCTGTTGCACATCTATAGATGACAACTAATATAATGAGTAAACATATTCACACTGAAGTGCTATTAACTTCCAAAGACGGTCATTAAATAATGATAAAATTGTCAATTCATTAAAAAGATACAACAATTGAAAATATATATACACCCAACATATATATTTAGAAGCAGTTAAATATATAAGGCAAATATTAACAGAACTGAAAGGAGAAACAGACAGCAATAAAATAATAGTAAGGGACTTCAACGCTGCACTTTCAACAACAGATAGATTGCCCAGACAGAAGATCAGTAAGGAATCATTGGACTTAAACTACACTTTAGGCCAAATGAACCTAACAGACATACAGAACATTCCATCCATGAGCAGCAGAATACACATTCTTCTTAAGCAAACGTGGAAATTTTCCAGGACAGATCATATGTTAGGTCACAAAACAAGTCTTAAACTTAAGAAGATTGAAATTGTATCAAGTATTCTTTCTGACTGTAATAGTGTTAAATTAGAAATGAGTATGAGGAAGAAAACCGTAAAATCAACAAATACATGGAAATTAAACAGCACACTCCTGAACAACCAATAAGTTAAAGAAGATATCAAAAGAGAAATTTAAAAGTTCTTGAAAGAAATAAAAATGGAAACACAATGGATCAAAACATAAGGGATGCAGCAAAAGCAGTGAAAGGGAAGTTTATGAAGATAAACACCTACATTAAGAAAAAAGAAAACTCTCAAATAATCTAATATTAAACCACAAGGTACTAAAATGAACAAACTAAGCCCAAAGTCAGCATAAAGAAAAAATAATACACATCCAAGAAGAAATCATTAAAATAAGGACTAAAAAAATCAAAAACAATAAAAAAGATCAATGAAATTAAAGTTGGTTTTTTTTGGAAAATATAAACAAAACTAACAAATCTTTAGCTAAAGAAAGAGAAGACTCAAGTAAAATCAGGAATGAAAGAAGAGACATTACATCTGATACCACAGAAAATTAAAAGATTATAAGAGACTGCTATGAACAGCTAGATGCACACAAATTGTATGACATCGGAGAAATGGATACATTCCTAGAAACTTACAAACTTCCAAAACTAAATCATGAAGAAATTGAAATATGAATAGACCAATAACAAGTAAGGACACTGGATTAGTAATCAGAAATCTCTCAACAAATAAAGTCCAGGACCAGACGGACTGGTGAATTCTATTAAATATTTAAAGAAGAAATAATACCAATTCATTTCAAAGTCTTCCAAAAAATTGAAGAGGAGAAATACTTCCAAACTCTTTTTATGAAGCCAACATTACCCTGACAAGGACATCACATGAAAAAAAAAGTACAGACCAATTTCCCTAATGAAGATAGATGCAAAATCTTCCACAAGATATAAGCAAACCAAATTCAACAGCACATTAAAAGGATCAAGTGGGTGCAGGATAGTTCAACATATGTAAATGTGGCACAACACATTCACAGAATGAAGGACAAAACCATGCAGTCATATCAATAGATGCAGAAAAAGCATTAAACAAAATCCATTTTCTATTTATTTTCATGATTAAAAAAAATTCTCAACAAATTAGATATAGAAAAATTCATTGCTAACATTATACTCCGCACTAAAAAGTTGAAAGGTGTTCTTCTATATAAGAAACGGGACAAAGATGCACACTCTTGCAACTTCTAAAAATCATAGCACTGGAAGTTCTAATTAGAGCAATTAGGAAACAAAAAGAAGTAAAAGTCATAAAAATTAGAAAGAAAGAAGATGACATAATCTATATATTGAAAACTCAAAAGACTTTACCAAAAAACAGTTAAGTGAATAAATGAATTTAGTAAAGTTGCAGCATACAAAATCAACATACAAAAATCAGTCATGTTTCTACACAATAACAATGGACTATTTCAATAAAATAATTAAGAAAATGATCTCATTTACAATAGCATCAAAAAATAAAATACTTAGGAATAAACTTAACCAAGGAGGTGAAAGATCTGTACACTGAAAACTGTAAGACATTGATGAAAGAAATTGAAGAAGACATAAATAAACAGAAAGATATCCCATTTTCATGGTTAATATTATGTGCTAACTTGACAGGGATAAGAGATACCCAGATAGCTACAAAACATTATTTTGGAGTGTATCTGTGAGCATGTTTTCACTAAGAGCCCAAACAAAACAAAAATGTAGGAGAAAGGGTTATATTATTTGTTTTTTATTTGTCACTCTGTTTCTCCCCTCCATCTCCCTTTATTTAGGATTAACAGAATATTTGTATTCCTTTTGACTATTTGGGCATAACCCTTTTTTAAAAATTGCTGCCTTAGGGATTGCACTATGCACCTTTAACCTGTCACAATATTGAACTAGTTAACATTAATATTGTACCACTTCTTGTAAAATGTAAGAATGTTACAATATTATCATTCAATTTACTCCCTTCTTTGTGTTATGGTTTTTATATATTATAGATCTTCATACATTATAAACTTTGTTTCATTTGATTTCATGTGTTTTAGGCAAATTAAAAGAAAACTAAGTTTCTAAATTTCCAGTGCTCTTCATTTCCAACTATAGATGTGATTTTCTCTGTTTCTCTGCTAAAGAAATCCCTTCAGTATTTCTTATAGTGCAGACCTGCTAGTGAAGAATTTTCTCAGTTTTTACTCATCTGAAAATTGTTTATTTTACCTTTATTTTTATTTTGAAGTATATTTTCTTGGGATATAGAACTCTTAGTTGACCTTTCTTTCTTTTTCTTTTCTTTCAGTACTTTAAAGATGCAGTTCCTGATATTCTGGTTCTCCATTAGTTCTGAGAAGGCAGCAACCATTCATATTACTGTTACCCTTTATACAACAAATCATTTTTGTCTGCTTTCAAGATTTTCTATCGTTAGCTTTCAGCAGTTTAACTATGACGTGCCTAAGAATAATATTTTTTTTTTCTTTCTGAGACAGAGTCTTGCTCTGTTACCCAGGTTGGAGTGCAGAGGCATATTCTCGGCTCACTGCAATCTCTGCCTCCCGGATTCAAGCAATTCTCCTGCCTCAGCCTCCCAAGTAGCTGAGATTACACGCACACGCCACCATGCCTGGCTAATTTTTGTATTTTTAGTAGAGATGGGGTTTCACCTTGTTGGCCAGGCTATTCTCGAACTCCTGACCTCATGATCTGCCCACCTCGGCCTCCCAAAGTGCTGGGATTACAGGTGTGAGCCACTGTGCCCGGCCAGAATGATATTTTCTATGTTTACCTTCTTTGGAGTTTGCTGAACTTCTTGAACCTGTACATTTATATGTTTTCGGCCATTATTTTTTTTTTTTAATTTTGGTCCCATTTTCTCTTTCTTTCTCCTTTCTCTGTGAGACTACAATTACATGTTTGCTATATTTTTGTCACATTCTTCCACAGGTCCATAAAGCCCTGTTAACTTATTTTTTTCATTTTCTATTCTTTCCTTTCTTCTGAGATATACAGAGATACTAACCAACCTTTAAGTTCATACCTGTTCTTCTGTAATGTTTAATCTTCTGTTAAGTAAGCCCATGCCAGCCATGCATTTTTATTTTGGATATTTTATATATTATTTATATTATTTTCATTATATGTGTTTCATATTTTAGTCCATTTATTTTTAGCTTCAAATCTCTACTGAGATTTCCCATGCAAATTTTTATTTTTTAAATTTTTTTTATTTTTATGGGTACATAGTATGTGTATATATTTATACAGTACATGAAACATTTTGATACAGACATGCAATTTGAAATAAGCACATTATAGAAAATGAAGCATCTATCCTCTCAAACATTTGTCCTTTGTGTTATAAACAATACAATTATACTCTTTCAGCTATTTTAAAATATACAATTAAATTATTTTGACTATAGTCACCCTGTTGTGCTATCAAATATTAGATATTTATTCTTTCTATTTTTTGTACCCATTAACCACCCCCACCTCCTCTCCACTGCCTACTACCCTTCCCAGCCTTCGGTAACCATCCTTCTACTCTCTATCTCCATGAATTCAATTGTTTTGATTTTTACACCCACAAATAAGTGACAACATGAGATGTTTGTCTTGCTGTGCCTGGTTTATTTCACTTAACAGCTCCATCTGTGTTATTTCAGATGACAAGATCTCATTCTTTCTTATGGCTGAATAGTAGTCCATTGTGTATATTTACCACATTTTCTTTATCTGTTCATCTGTTGATGGACACTTAGATGGCTTCCAAACCTTGGCTATTATGAACAGTGCTGCAACAAACATGGGAGTGCAGATATCTCTTCAATAAACTCGTTTCCCTTCTTTTGAGTATATACTCAGCAATGGGATTGCTGGAACATATAGTAGCTCTATTTTTAGTTTTTTTGAAGAACCTCCAAACTGTTCTTCATAATGTTTTTAATAATTTTAATCATCACCAAAATTGTACGAGGGTTCCCTTTTCTCCACGTTCTTGCCAGCATTTGTTATTGCCTGTCTTTGGATATAAGCCGTTTTAAGTGGGGTAAGACGATATCTCACTGTAGTTTTGATTTGCATTTCTCTGATGATAAATGTTGTTGAGTACTTTTTCATATACCTGTTTGCCATTTGTATGTCTTCTTTTAAGAAATGTCTATTCAAATCTTCTGCCCATTTTTAAATTAGATTAGATTTTTTTCCTATAGAGTTGTTTGAATTCCTTATATATTCTCCTTATATAATCCCTTCTCAGATGGATAGTTTGAAAATATTTTCTCCCATTCTGTGACGTGTTGATTTTATCGTTTGTTGTACAGAAGCTTTTTAACTTGATGTAATCCCATTTGTCCATTTTGGCTTTTGTTGCCTATGCTTGTGGGGTATTACTCAAGAAAATTTTTGCCCAGACCAATGTACTGACGAGTTTCCCCAATGTTTTCTTGTAGTGGTTTCGTAGTGTGAAGTCTTAGATTTAGGTCTTTAATGCATTTTGCTTAGATTTTTGTATATGGCAAGAGATAGGTGTCTAGTTTCATTTTTCTGCATATGGATATCCAGTTTTCCCAGATCATTTATTGAAGAGACTGTTTTTTTCCCCAGTGTATGTTCTTGGCATACACTGGGGGAAATAAGTTCACTGTATGTGTATGGATTTGTTTCTGGGTTCTCTATTCTGTTCCATTTGTCTGTATGTGTTTTTATGCCAGTACCATGCTGTTTTGGATACTATAGGTCTATAGTATATCTTGAAGTCAGGTATGTGATTCCTCTGGTTTTGTTCTTTTCACTCAGGATAGCTCGAGCTATGATGTATCTTTTCTGGTTTCATGTAAATCTAGGATTGTTTTTTCTATTTCTGTGAAGAATGTCATTGGTATTCTGATAAGGATTGCATTGCATCCATAGATTCCTTTGGGTTGTACGAATATTTTAACAATATTGATCCTTCCAATTCATAAACATGAAATATCTTTCCATTTTTGTGTTTAATTTATTTCCATTTCAATTGTCTTTAATTTATTTCATCAATGTTTTATAGTTTTTATTATAGAGATCTTTCAGTTCTTTTGTTCATCCTTATGTATTTAATTTTGTTTGTGGCTACTGTAAATGTGATCACATTTTTATTTTTTTCAGATTGTTCACTGTTGGCATATAGAAATGCTGCTGATTCTTCTATGCTGATTTTGTATCCTCCAACTTTACTGAATTCATTTATTATTTCTAATAGTTTTTCTGTGGAGTCTGTAGGTTTTTCCAAATATAAGATTATATCATCTGCAAACAAGGATGACTTCTTTCCAATTTGGGTGCCCTTTGTTTTTTTCTCTTGTCTAATTTTTCTACCTAGGACTTCCATTACTATGTTGAACAACAGAGGTGAAAGTGGGTATCCTTGTCATGTTCCACATCTTAGAGAAAAGGCTTTCAGTTTTTCCCCCTTCTGTATGATATTAGCTGTGGGTCTGTCATATATGGCTTTTATCGTGTTGAGTTATGTTCCTTTTGTTGTGTTGAGGTATCCCTTTTTAAGGGATTTTATCATGACAGAATTTGAGATATTTTATCATGACAAAAAGCAGAATGATTTTCATCCTTCATTCTGTTGATATGATGTATCACATTGATTCATTTGCATATGCTAAAACAACCTTGTATTTCTGGGATAATTCCCATTTGGTCATGATGAATGCTTTGGCTTGAATTTGGTTTGCTAGTATTTTGTTGAGGATTTTCACATCAATATTCATCAAAGATATTGGCCTGTAGTTTTCCTTTTTGTTTTTGATGTGCCTTCATCTGGTTGTTATATTGGGGTGATACTGGCCTTCTAGAATGAGTTTGGAACTATTCCCTCCTCTATTTTTTGGAATAGTTTGAGCAGGATTGATATTAGTTCTTTAAATCTTTGGTAAAATTCAGCAGTGAAGCGATCAGATCCTGGACTTTTCTGTGCTAAGAGACTTTTTATTATGGCTTCAAACTCATTACTTGTTATTACTCTGTTCAGGTTTTGGATTTCTTCATGGTTCAATTTTAGAAGGTAGGGATTTACCCATTTTCTCTAGATTTTCCAATTTATTTGCATATACTTGCTCATAGTAGCCACGAATGAGCCTTTGAATTTTTGTGGTATCAATTGTAATGTCTCCTTTTTGATCTCTGATTTTACCTGTTTGGGTCTTCTCCTTTTTTTCTTTATTACTCTGGCTAAAGATTAGTTAATTTTATCTTTTCCAAAAATCCCAACTTTTTGTTTAATTGATCTTTTGTATTGTTTTCATTTCAAATTCATTTATTTTGGCTCTGATCTTTATTATTCCTTTCCTTTTACTAATTTTTGGTTTAGTTTCCTCTTGTTTTCCTAGTTATTTCAGAGGCATCATTAGCTTATTTATACAAAGGGTTTTTTTATTTTATTTTTTTTATTTTGAGACAGAGTCTCTCTCTGTCATCCAGGCAGGAGTGCAGTGACACGATCTTGTCTCACTGCAACATCCACCTCCCAGGTTCAAGAAATTCTCATGCTTCAGCCTCCCTAGTAGCTGGGATTACAGGTATGCACCACCATGCCTGGCTAATTTTTTGTATTTTTAGTAGAGATATGGTTTCACCATGTTGCACAGGCTGATCTCAAACTCCTAAGCTCAGGTGATCCATCTACCTCAGCCTCCCAAAATGCTAGGATTATAGGTGTGAGCAACCACACCCAGCTCGGACTTTTTTTTTTTTTTTTTTTTTTCAGATGGAGTCTCACTCTGTCACCCAGGCTGGAGTGCAGTGGTGCAATCTCAGCTCATTGCAACCTCTACCTCCTGGGTTCAAGCAATTCACCTGCCTCAGCCTCCCAAGTAGCTGGGATTGTAATCCCAGGTGCCCGCCACTACACCCAGCTAATTTTTGTATTTTTAGTAAAGATGGGGTTTCACCATGTTGGCCAGGCTGGTCTCGAACACTTGACCTCGCGATTCACCTGCCTCAGCTTCCCAAAGTGCTGAGATTACAGGCATGAGCCACCGTGCCTGGCTGAAGTTTCTTTTTTAATGTAGGCACTTATAGCTATAAATTTTTCTCTACTGCTTTCACTGTATCCCATAGGTTTTGCTATGTTGTTTCCATTATGATTTGTTTCAAGAAATTTTTCAGTTTCCTTCTTAATTTCTTCATTAACCCACTTGTCATTCATGGGTATATTATTTAATTTCTACATGCTTGTATAGTTTCCAAAATTATTCTTGTTGATTTCTAGTTTTATTCCATTGTAGTCAGAGAAGATGCTTGGTATTATTTCAGATTTGTTTAATGTTTTAAGACTTGTTTTGTGACCTAACATATGGTCTGTCCTTGAGAACAATCCACATGCTGAGGAAAAAAAAGTGTATTCTGCAGCCTTTGGATAAAATGTTCTGTAAATATCTGTTAGATCCATTTGTTCTATAAGGCAGATTAAGCCCAATGTTTCTTTGCTGAGTTTCTCTCTGGAAGATCTGTCCAATGCTGAAAGTGGGTATTGAAATCTCCAGCTATTATTATATTGAGATCTATCTCTCCCTTTAGCTCTAATAATATTTGCTTTATATAGCTAGGTACTCTAATGCTGGGGACATATATATTTACAATCATTATATCCTCTTGCTCAATTGAAAACTAACATTATATAATGATCTTGTCTCTTCTCGCAGGCTTTGTATTGAAATCTATTTTGTCTGATTTAAGTACAGCTATTCCTGCTTTTTTTTGTTTTCCATTGAGATGGAATATCTATTCTCATCCATTTATTTTCAGTCTGTGTGTATCTTTATAGGTGAAATGATTTCTTGTAGGCAACAGATCATTGGGTCTTGTTTTTTCATCCATTCAGCCATTGTATGTCTTTTGATTGGAAGGTTTAGTTCATTTACATTCAATGTTATTATTAATACCTAGAGACTTACTCTTGCCATTTTGTTACTTGTTTTCTGGTTGTTTGTGATCTTATCTTCCTTCTTACCTTCTTACCTTCCTTCCTGTCACCCTTTTAATGAAGGTAATTTTCTCTGGTGGTATGATTTAATTTCTTGGTTTTTGTGTGTGTGTGTGTGCATTGCATGATTTTTAATTTGATGTTACCATGAGGTTTACAAATACTAGCTTATTACCCATACTAGCTTATAACCTCAAATAAATTTATTGATAATACTGAATACAAATATAGACAATTTTTTAAATTTTATTTTCAGGGGTACATGTGCAGGATGTGCAGGTTTGTTACACAGGTAAATGTGTGCCATTGTGGTTTGCTGTACAGATGGACCCATCACCTAGGTATTAATCCCAGCATCCACTAGCTATTCTTCCTAATGCTCTTCCTCCTCTTCCTACCAATCCCCCAACAGGCCCTAGTGTGTATCATCCCTACCCCCACCATGTATTCATGTGTTCTCATCATTCAGCTCTCACTTATAAGTGAGAACATGCAGTATTTGGTTTTCTGTTCTTGAGTTAGTATGCTAAGGAAAATGGCCTCCAGCTGCATCCATGTCACTGTAAAGGACATGATCTCATTCCTTTTTATGGTTACACAGTATTCCATGGTATATATGTACATTTTCTTTAGTCTATCATTGATGGGCATTTAGGTTCATTCCATGTGTTTACTATTATGAATAGTGCTCCAATGAACATATGTGTGCACGTGTCTTTATAACAGAAGGATTTCTATTCCTTCAGGTGTATACCAAGTAATGGGATTGCTGGGTCAAATGGTATTTCTGCCTCTAGGTCTTTGAGGAATTGCCATACTGTCTTCCTCAGTGATTGAACTAATTTACACTCCCCACAACAGTGTAAAAGTGTTCTTTTTTCTCTACAACCTCAACAGCATTTGTTGTTTTTTGACTTTTTAATAATAGCCATTGTTAGTGTGAGATGATATCTCACTGTGGTTTTGATTTACATTTCTCTAATGATCAATGATGTTGAGATTTTTTTCATGTTTATTGGCTGTATGTATGTCTTCTCTCCAGAAGTGTCTACTCATGTTCTTTGCCCACTTTTTAATGGTTTTGTCTTGTAAATTTGTTTAAGTTCCTTGCAGATGCAAGATATTAGACCTCTGTCAGATGGACAGATTGCAAAAACTTTCTGCCATCCTGCAGGTTGTCTGTTCACTCTGATGATAGTTTCTTTTGCTGTGCAGAAGCTCTTTAATTAGATCCCATTTGTCATTTTTGCTTTGGTTGCAATTGCTTTTGGCATCTTTGTCATGAAATCTTTGCCCAGGCCTATGTCCTGAATGGTTTGCCTGGATTATCTTCTAGGGTTTTTATAGTTTTGATAACTCATTATTTTGATCTGATGACAACTTAACACTAAGTGCATAAACAGACAAAACACACAAAAAGAAAACTAATAAAACTCTAACTTCATTTCCCTGCTTAACTTTTTGTTTTCTCTTTATGTTTTATTATACTGCCTGTGTCTTGAAAAGTTGTTGTAATATATTATTTATGATTGCTTCATTTAGTCTTTCCACTTAAGATAAAGACAGTTTGCACACCACAGTGTTATAATATTCTGTGTTTTTCTGTGTGCTTACTATTACCAGTGAGTTTTGTACCTTCAGGTGATTTCCTTCTTGCTCATTAACATTTCTTTCAGATTGAAGAACTCCCTTTAGCATTTCTTTTATGACAGGTTTGGTGTTGATGAAATCCCTCAGCTTTTGTTTGTCTGGGAAGATCTTTATTTCCCCTTTATGTTTGAAGAATATATTCACCAGATATAGTATTGTAGGGTAAAAGTTTTATTTTTCCCCTTTGGCACCTTAATTATGTCATGTCACTCTCTCCTGGCCTGTAAAGTTTTCACTGAAAAGTCTGCTGCTGGATGTATTGGAGCTCCATTGTATGTTATTTGTTTCTTTTCCCTTGCTGCTTTTGGGATCCTTTCTTCATCTTTGACCTTTCGGAGTTTGATTATTAAATGCCTTGAGGTAGTCTTTTTTGGGTTAAATCTTCTTAATGTTCTATAACCTTTCTGTGGTTGAATGTTGATATCTGCCTCTAGGTTTGGGAAGTTCTCTGTTATTACTAGAATTTCTGCTTGATTCTTTTCAGTTATTTCAATCTTTACGTTAAATTTATGTGATAGAATTCTGAATTCTTTCTCAGTGTTTTCTTAAGTTTCCTCAGCTATTTTGAATTCTCTAAAAGGTCACATGACTCTGTCACTCCAGGATTGGTCCCTGATTCGTTAGTTTGGTGAGGTCCTGTTTTTCGGGATGATATTAATGCTTGTAGAAGTTCATCAGCATCTGGGCACTGGAGAGTTAGGTATTTACTGTAGTCTTCAGTCTGAGCTTGTTTGTGCCCATCCTTCTTGGGAAGACTTTCCAGGTATTTGAAAGAACTTGGGCCACAAGCCCAATATCACTGTTGTTTTTGCAGACTCAAAGAAGTACCATTTTAGTGGTTTTGGATAAGACAGGAAACAATTCTCTGGATTACCATGCACAAAATCTTGTTCTTTTCCCTTTCTTTCTCCCAAACAAATAGAGCCTTCTCTCTATGCTGAGCTAACTGGAACTGGAGGTGTGGTGATGTAAGTAACCCTGTGGCCACCAGCACTGGGACTGTGCTGGGTCTGACTTAAAGCCAGCACAGCATTGGGTCTTGCCCAAAGCCTGCTGTAACCACTATCTGGCTACCTCCTATGCTCACCGAAGGCCCTAGTACTCTATGATCAGCAGGTGGCAAAGCCAGCCAGGTTTGTGTCCTTCCCTTCAGGGTGGTGAGTTCCTCCAGGCCCGAGGCAGATCCAGAGATGCTATCTGGGATCCAGAATTTGAGTCACAAACCTTAGAAATTTGCCTGATGTTTTATTCTACTGTGGCTAAGCTGGCACTCAAACTGCAATACTAAGTTTTTCCTACTCTTCTCTTCCCTTTCCACAGGCAGACAAGCCTCTTTCTGTGGCCACTACCACCCTCACCCCATGGGGGAATTCTGCCAGTCCACCACTGATGTTCACTTAAAGCCCAAGGGCTCTTCCATCAGCTTGTGGTGAATGCTGCCAGGCCTGGGACACACCCTTCAAGGAAATGAACTCCCCTCTCATCCAGTGTAGGTCCAGAAATGCTGTCCAAGACCCTAGGCCTGGACTCAAGACCCCAAATCCCTGCTTGTTGCTCTACCCCACTGTGGACAAGCTGATGCCTAAGGCGCAAGACAAAATCTTTTACTTTTCCCTCTGCTTTTCTCAAACAAAAGGAGTTTTCACCATAGCCACCACATCTGGGAATGTGCTAAGTCATACATGTAGTCAGCATGTCTCAGAGCCCAGAACCCATGGGGTATTCCCTGGATATCGCTGCTGCTTATTTAGGGCCCAAGGGCTCTTTAGTAAGTAAGTGATGAGTCCTCCTGCCAGGTCTGGGTCATTCCCTTCAAGGTAGTGGGTTCTCTTTTGGCCCAGGGTGTTTCTAGAAATGCCATCTAGCAGCTAGGGCCTGAAATGGGGACCTCACCATTCTGCCCAGTGCCCTATCCTATCCTAGAATCCAAGATGCAAGACAAAGTCCTCTTTACTCCTCTCCTTAGACAGAAGGAAGGAGCTACTTTCATTGCTGTGAGCTGTGTAGCCTGTGGTTGTGGGAGGCATAGCACAATCACTCCCGTAGCAACCCTGCCTGATGTCTCTCTAAGTAAAATGCCACCCTCTGAGCCTAGCCCAGCACTAGGAGTTGCCTAGAGTTGCAGTCCTTGTGTCCTAAACTGTCTTTACTAGGACCCTACAGCACTTTGGCCTGCAGCGGTGACACTTGCCAAGAAACTCGAGTTCCAACCACTGGGATGGGTGATTCCCTTCTGACTAGGTCTGATTCAAGTGCTGCCTCTTTGCACAGGTGCTGGCTGAGCCCAGTATGGCTTTGCTCTCCACTATGACAGGGCAGCACTGAGTTCAATATAAATCCTTCAATCGCACTCTGCCTTTCCCAAGTGCACAGACTCTCTGTGCCGCATGGCCACTGCTTAGGGGTTTGGGGAGTGTGTGTCAGCAATTCAAGACTAAAACTGGGAACTGTAATTGCTCACTTGATTTTGGATTCTTGTGGTGGTGCTTTTCTGTGTACAGAGTTGTGAAAATTCAGCATTCCAGCGGTGGGGAGTGGGGGACAGGATGAATGGTGTAGGCTTCTATTCTGCCATCTTGCTCTGCCCCAGATTTTCTATTCGTTTGGAACATATTTTATTGCTGTATTCTAGGGCCCAGTCAGGAAGTAGAAAACTCACCAAAAAATCTGAATAGGAAAATGTAATTAAAATAATTATTAACTACTAAGAAATAAAGAGAATTCCCAGGCATATTTAAATTGCAGATATACAGAACAGACACTGTTTCTAGGATGGAAGCAGAGTAACTAAGGAATAAATAAACATAGAATAAGTTACCTCTATTCCCAGGGCTGAGATTCAGATGTGATTGGAGGGAGTGTGGCTATGGCTCCCTGGATGGCAGGAAAGTTAGTGATGTGTTTAATCTAGGGATGGCAAACAAAAATCACCTGCTGAAGTGCCCAGCCCAATGATATACGACTGAGAAGCTGCCTGATGAGTTGTTGCTGAAATTCACTGGAAAGCCACCTTCTGGGTGTCATATTCTACAGGCTACCTCACACTCAGCAACCAGAATTTTCAAAAAATAAAAAATAAAAAGCATATCAGAATGAAGAAGAGCAAGAAGCCCCTTTCTCCCACAAAGTTCCTTCAGCACCTCCTATTACCAAGACTTAAGGGCTCATGCCAAGCCTGGGCAACATAGTGAGACCCTATCTCTACAAAAAAAAAATTTATTAGCCAGGCATAGTGGCACATGCCTGTTGTTCTGGCTGTTTGGGAGGCTGAGGCAGGAGGATCACTTGAGCCCAAGAGTTTGAGATTCCAGCAGGTTAGGATCATGCCATTGCACTCCAGCATGGGTGACAGAGCAAGACCTTGTATCCAAATAAAATTGTAAAAATCTTAATATTGTGCTGACAAAAAAGAAAAGTTTATTCGCTCTAGCTATAGATCTTAAAGCAGGGAAAAGAAAGGTAGACTTGGAGCTGAGAGACAATAAACCAATAACATAGTTACAATAGCTGCTTTAAAATTGTTGTCTGCTAGTTCCAACATTTATGTTACCTAGGGTTGATTTATTTTGACTCATTTTTCTCTTGACTATGAGTCACAGTTTTCTGTTTCTTTGCATGCCTGCTAATTTTTAATCTGTAGTAGACATTGTGGATAATATTTTGCAGAGACTCGATTCTGTTATCATCTTCTGGATAATGTTGGTTTTTATTCTAACAGGCAGTTAAATTATTGGATGATCACTTCAAACTTGTAGAGGTTTCACACGTTTTGGAGTGTGTCTCATGGTTTATGCGTAGATGTAGTATGAATCCTTAAGGTTTATATTTTGGGATCGTCTACCCCTGCAACGTGAAATTAATGGGGTTTCCATGAAGAGCTTGAGTTTACCAAACTGTTTCAATACGGCCAGACTCGAATTCCAAATTCTGTCTCCCTTAGGAAGGGCAGCAATTGAAATCTCTCTCAGAATTTCAGCTGTTGCCTTCTGCTGGGTTCCTTAGAATCTCCCCGCTTATATGCATATCAGAGAGTAGCCAAGATTTGAGGACTGTTTATGTAAAGATTTGGGGGTTCTTTCTTCTATGGATTCCTCCTTGCCAGGATTTCCCACTCAATTTCCAACTTCTCAGGCAGCCCTCAATTCTGTTCTCTGGCACCTTAAGTCAATAACACAACAGCTTTCAGCTAATCTCTAGCTGTTCTGTGCCTTTCAGGCTAGATAGTTCCCACAGAGAAAAAACCATGTTGAAGTGTACCTTACCCAGTGAAGTTTTTCCTCCTTTAAGGGTCCTATCCTTCACAGTTTCTGGCCTGCTTTTTGGTACTCATAAGTTTCTGAAACAAACTCCTCCTCCTCTACAATACCAAAAATAGACAAGATGATTTCTAAGAGACATTGTTACTCTAAGAGCTTTGGATATGACTTTGAGCGGCAGGTAGATCACAACACACATAGAAATGAATCTGTTTATTTTAATTGAAAGTGTTATAAGTTGTCATGTTAGTACAATTTGCACTGTATTCAATACATACTGACTATAGTTCTAGATAGCATATTAATTATACTGGGGTATAATAAAGTGGAAAAATAGGACAAATGTAGCTGTATAATAATTTATCTGATTCCTTCTTTCAGAATCAGCTGTATGTCTTCATAATAAATAATTTATTTAGTTAATGAAGCATGCTTATAAAATGTGTTTGTATATGAAAAAGAGATCAGCACAGTATAGAATTTATATTGTTCCTGAACTTTCACCATGCTTCTCTTTGGAAACATATTCATGTTTCTGTATGGGTAAACTATTGCTCTAACACACTCTATTGAACATGGATGGTCTCCTAGGCAAAGCGTCAGGTCACATAGCACAGCTGGCGGAAGAGAAGTAATTGGAGAAAGGATTTATAGCTCAGTAACAAGCAGACATCTTCAGTGCCCTGTTTCTTTCTTTTTTCATTAACCTGTCTGAAGTTTCATTTCTTTGCAACTACCAGCTGCACATGGCTTCATCCTTGTTCAGCTGGATCTCAAATAAATCTAGTCTTGGGTAGTACTTCATCTTGTGTAAAAGAAAAAAAAATGTGAAGAACAATAAGGAGAGCAGCTCCTCGGTGTAATGATGAAGAGTCACTAATCTCTGACTGCAGAGGGGAAATGCTTAGGGATAGCCTGTCTGTATTCCTTTCTCTCTATTTTATTAAGAGCTTCTGTGATTTTCTTTTCTTAATATAAGAGAAAATATTATACACTGCAAAAAAAAAAAAACCCACATAGCACATGAAAGTAAAAAGGGAAAATTTTTTAGTTCACTATTAACCTGACTACATACTATAAAAAATGTTTATCATTATTATAAACATTTTGATGTATAAACTTGCACAAAGTAGCAGCATTCACTTCTTTACCTAAATCCACATCTATATTATTCATTTTGGTTGCAGTGTATTGTATGGATGTACATGCTTTTAAACTTGAACTTTATTTTATCGATCTTCTACTAATGGGTGCTCAGTTTATTCATTTATTTTGTTCTTGATTGATATTACAATGAGTATCCTTATACATGTATTGTTTTGCCTTATTTCTATAAGTTTACAAAGAAAGATTGTTGCATCAAGGGCATAGACATTTTTAAAGCTTTTCATGGACATAAACATGCATCCTTCCAGATAGAACATACCAGTATCTACTCCCACTATGATGTGAGAATTTTCTTCACCCTGAGACACACATTATGTGTACTAAAAATTTGAGTACAAGTAATAGCAAAATCTAACTTTTTGAAACATTTGCTACGTAGCAGCATCTGTTCACAAGCATTTTAGATTCATGATCCCATTTACATCTAAAACACTTCTATAAGGTAGGGGCTGTGATTATTATTCTCATTTTACAGGTGAAAAACTGAAGCACAAGGAAACAACTAGTCAGGTCAACATGCAGTAGAGGTAATGCCAGGATTTAATCTCAAGAAGTCCGATTTCACAGGCTGAACTTTTAATGGAGTCTCAGGAAAAACAGTTTGGCATAACTAAATAAGTGGCATAAAGCCCTTGGTGTGAGAACAGTTGCAACTTCCCTTCTTGCCTCTAGAACACCACACTTTCTTGGCATCCATCCTATTTCATGGGCAATTCCTTCCTAACTCCTTTGCTGGCTCCTCTTCCATCTGATTCCTAAATGGTGCAGTACTCAAAGCCCAGTCCTGGGCTTTGATCTCTTCTCTTTTTACACTGTGTCTTAGGTGACCTCCTGCAGTCTTCTCACTTTAAAGATCACATAAAAAACAATGATTCCCATACTGTATATACAGTCCTGACCTTTCCTTGGGCTCATATATCTAATTGCCTTCTCAATACCACTGCAGGGTCTAATCAGCACCTCAAATTTAAGATGGCCAGAACAGAATTCATAGTTTCCTGAACTTGTTCCTCATTTGTCTCCCACATCTCAGTAAATGATATCACTAGTAGTAAGTTGCTCAAACCAAAAATCTGAGTTAACATGATTTCTTATTTTTCCTTTTATCTCTATATCCATTTTATGAGTAACTTCTCTCTACTGTACCTCCGAGATATATCTCAAATCCATTCTTTTTTCCCTGTCTTCGCTATCACTCCCTTAGCTCAAGCCACCATCACTTCTAACAGCCACTCCAACTCTCTCTATAAACAATTCTCTATACATTAAGAATAATCTTTGAAAATATAAATCTGATTATATCTCACCATAATTTGAAATTTTCAATGACTTCCCAGAAGATTTAGGATAAAATTCCAATCCTTACTCTAGTTTACAATCCCCTCGTTACATGGATCTTGCCTATCTTTCTTTCACATTGGGTACCACTCTCCCCTGACCACCATGCTATAGATATACTATTTTCCTTTCTGCTACTTGAAAATATCAAACTTATCTCCAATGATGTAATTTTTCACTAGCTGTTCCCTTTGCTAGGAATGCTCTTCTCTTAATCCAGTGGTTCTCAAATCAGAGGCTATTTTGCTCCAGGGGTATATTTGGCAATGCCGTCCCAGACATTTTTGTCACAACTGGGGAGATGATACTAGCTTCTCATACTAGAGACCAGGGATGTTGTTAAGCGTCTTCTAGTGCACAGGATAGCCCCCCACAACAAAGAATTATCTGGTCCAAAATTTCGATAGTGGGAAGGTTGAAAAACCTCACTTTTATCAACACATAACTAGCTCTTTTTTATTTTTTGGCTCTCAGCATATATTTTAATTCTTCAGAGGCCTTTCTTGATCACTTAAACCCAAGTCACCTACTATCACAATAGTTTAATTCCCTACAATGTGTTTGTCATTCCTTGAATTTTTTCATGTTTATTCATTTAGTTTGCTTGCTCTTTGTCTGTGTATTTCTCCATATTATAAACAACATGAGAGTAAGAATATTCTCTTATTAAACATTGTATCCCAACCACCACGAACAGTGGTTCAAAGAAACCACAGCTCAAAGAAGAGCTACATAAAGATAGTAGAGGGGATGAAAAACTGAGACTGTGATGTTCTGTTTTTACTGGAGAGGTGAGAATATTGACCACTGTACTTGCAACTTCATACTAGAAACCTAGGGTTCAAAGTAGGTAAGACACTAAGGCAAAAAGATGAGCTTGGAGGGTGGGTGGGATGATCTAGGGCAATCACCTGAAAAAAGCATAATTTTTGTAAGACATTACTAACATTTGTAAGGTCTCCAACAACAGTGGTGGAAGTGGAAAAAGGAGGAAGGTTTTAGGCAACAGTGGCAAATATAAAGGCAGCAGCCAAAGCCCCAGAGAACTTAGCAGAATTATGATCTACGTTTCCTTTGTCTCTTTCTCCTGACAATCCCAACCTTAGTATCCAGGTTACAGGGGCCTCAAAGCACTGAAAAAGCTCTCAAATATTTCAAATATTTTACCACTAAGATTCCCCCCCAAATTACCTTTGGCACTGACAAAGATAGGACCCAAGTCTACTCCTGCAACTTAAATGGTCTTAGACCTGTACCAAATTGTTCTCTGGGAAGAGCATGACCTGAGTATGTGAGAGAGATTAGCATCAGTAAGATCAAATAATCTTTTTCTAAAATACAGTACTCATTAGGCCCAATTTAAATAATATGCCAATCAAATCAATCAGTCAAATATTCACCAAGTACCTACTATGCACCTAAACTAGTATCACCAGCTGTTCTACCTCTGGCATGGCCTAGATAATTGTCATAAGAGAGGAAGACTAAGGCTGAGGGTAGATAAAATGTGAACAAGGTCCAGACGGTGAGAGATGTCAAGCATGAAGTTAGTTCCAGCCATAGATCATAGAGAAGCTCATAATCAGGAGCATGGAGACAGAGAACAGGATCTGCTCCAAACAAGGACCTGGCATCAAAGATGCAAAATATAATCTCAAGTCCTGAAATGTAGACAGTGAACAGTGATGGGGATTCCAGAACAGGCAATAAATCACCAAGTGGAAGGGAGACAGGCACTGGTCCAGGACTCTAACCCAAGAATTTGGGGATCTAAAGGGTGGAGATGACAGGTAGGATTAGTAAAAAAACAAAGCACAGCCCAAGTGCTGTTGAATGATTCCCAGCATGTTACCAATGCAGGAACTCTGGCAAGGATGGAAAACTCAATGTGTGAGACTTTCCCAGGTAAAGACACTAGACTAGCACAGGCAGGGATCAACATATTGTTTTTCTGTTTAGGGTAGAGGTGGGTCCAGGTGAATAGTTTCCATAAGAAGGTCAATATTGGACAATAAGAGTCAGCATTTAGTCAGGGCAAGATTGTAAGGGGCTCTGAATGCCAGCATGGCAGAAACAGCAAGTTATCATCTAATATTTATTTTTTGCTTTCCTAGTAAAAGAACCATGGTTTTATTTTCGGCAAGAATACCTTTAGTTAAAAATCATGTTTCTCTTTGCTTCCCTCTCAGCTATGTGTAACTAAGTTGTATGTAACCTTCAGCTATATGTAACTAAGAACTGGCCAAAGAGATGGAGTGTTCTGTGGGGTATCCAGGAAGATTAAGGGAGCTGCTTCAGCTGGTATAAATTTCTTTATGTCTACTGTTCCCCCTTCTGTCGGTGATGACTATAAATGCTAACAGTCATATTAGACCATGAGGTAACCTTGAGTGAGACCAGATGCCATGACTATAAGCCATTAACTAAAAATTGCACATCACAAAGATAGGAAGGGTATTGGTCCCAGATGAACAAATGAACCTGATGTACCAGTCATGGCATGCACTCCTCCGGATTTTTTTTTTTAAGCAGGGTCCTGTTCTGTCACCCAGGCTGGAGTGCAATGGCACAACAATCGTGACTCACTGCAGTCTCAACCTCCCAGGCTCAAGCAATCCTCCTACCTTAGCCTCCTCAGTAGCTGGGATTACAGGTGGGTGCCACCATGCCAGGCTAATTTATTTTATTTTTAGTAAGCTAATTTTTAATTTTTTATAAAGACAGAGTTTCCCTATGTTTCCCAGGCTGCTCTTGAACTCTTGGGCTCAAGCGATCCTCCTTATTCAGCCTCCCAAAGTGCTGGGATTTCAGGTATGAGCCACTGCAGCTGGCTGGATTTATCTTTTTTTTTTTTTTTTTTTTTTTTTTACACACGAGAGAGAAATAAAGGTCTATTTTGCTTTAGTCACCATTAACCTGGCATCTCCATTATATGCAGATTCCCTTCATCTCAGTTGGTACAGTGGAGGAGTCAGGTGGACAGACTCTAGGGCAGTCCTCCATGATTCCACCTCCTACTGTTCATGCCCTTGGGCAATTGCCTTCCCCTCAGCATGGGCAGGGCCCGTCACTTGCTTCTCACTACAGAAAATGGCAATGGCAAAGGCAAAGAGGTGTCACTCCCGTGTTTGCTTTATGTGTGTAAGACTATGTCTTCTTAGCAGATTCTAGAGACTGTCTTCCTAGCTGGCTTTGAAGAAATAGCCAGGTTGAGAAGTCCACATGACAAGAAGCTGAGGGCAGCCTTTAGGAGCTGAGAGTGCTCTCTATATCCAACAGCCAGCAACAAACCAGGGTCCTCAGTTCTATGACCACTAGGAAATGAATTCTGCCAACAACCTGAAGAGGCTTGGAAATGAATTCTTCCCAGTCAGCCTCCAGATGTGAACACAGCCCAGCGAACACCTTGCTTGCAAACTTTTGAGAACTTAAACAGAGAAATCAGCTATGCTGTGCCCAGACTTCTGACCCACCAAAACTGTGAGATAATAAATGTGTGCCGTTTTAAGCTCCGGCATTTGTGATAATTTGTTATGCCAAGGTAAACTGCTAACACAAGGAATCTGAACTGAATCTCAAATTTTCCATGGCTGTAGTTCACCTTATCCTACAAATTTACCATTCTGTTATTCTGTGGAGTGTGTACATGTGGAGTTCATAGTTACCTGATTTCACCTATAATGCAAAATACATTGAATGATTTTCAAAAAGTAAAGGTATAGTCTTTACCTCCAAGAAGTCTGTTAAGTACTTTTGCATGCTCACTAACTGCCTTCACTGGCACCTTCATCAAAGGTAGGCAGGAGACTAGTTAGGGCTCATTCAGGCTTCTTGAACATGACAACTGATTGAGACCGTCCTTTTACTCATACAATGAGCCACACAAAGTGGGTTAATACACTTTTTTATATATAAAAAGAAAGAAGCAGAAAGGATTCCTATCTGCCCAAAAACATGATGAAGATTAAATAAACATGAGATTAATACACTTTTTTATACTTGGAAGAAGCAGAAAAGAAAATATTGCAGATTCACATATGCCTGAAAATATGAAGATTAAGTAGTGAGATTTTCAGACAAAAGAGTGCCACGGAACTGTAAAACATTATTATTAATTAACATAGTTGTAAAAACTCAGGTTCCAAGAAGAGAAAAATCTTGGAAGCAATTATGAAATTCATTGTATGACATTTAGATTAAATACACACTTCTCTTAAGAATACAAAACACTGAATATGTTCTTCAATCTACCAAATATGAATAATCCAATTTGATATCTTTCCACCTATCAGCCAGGGGTATTGAAAAACAACGGATGACTTAATAAACATAGAAAGCTTCTAACAATGTCAATGTGCTCACATGCATTATATCAAACATAATTGTTCTCTGTGTCATAACTAGATAACATAAATGTCATAGAAAGGGTCAGAGAATAAAGAGTCTCATTAACTTTCTTTTGTGTTAAACAATAGATTAATACCAGTTAATAAAGCAGTTGTGAGTCAATGTTTTCCCACAGAGTGCTGTTTTGGGGGTTGGGGCATGGATTAGAATAATGAGAGCTTATAACTTACTTTTAAAACTTTTTTCCAGAAGTAGAAGTTCTAAGTATGTTAATTACTTCTACTATGTCCCCATTACAGACAAAA
This sequence comes from Homo sapiens, assembly GCF_000001405.40. Taxonomy (NCBI): domain Eukaryota; kingdom Metazoa; phylum Chordata; class Mammalia; order Primates; family Hominidae; genus Homo; species Homo sapiens. The sequence goes on from NC_000011.10 coordinate 101,674,953, forward strand.
TGTGTGATGTACTGCTTTTCATTCCAATACTTACAACTGAAATAAATCTTTTGATATGTGGCTTAATTATCTGGATATAAAATTCTTTTCAAACTAAGAATTCTATCAACTATAAGCTTGCCCCAAATGTATGACACATGACAGTCTTTGATATTTCCTTCATGACCCAACCCCACCAAAACCAACAAATAACTAGAAAAAAATTGTATTGTGATCCTTAAATATTCCATATGACTTTTGGAAATGAAATATTCAAATGGAAAATTACTTTGGCCAGCAATTGTAAATCAATTCTGTTCAATAAGCCTTGTGGTTAGTGGAAATCCCTCCATATTCTGGCAATAGAATGACAGTCACTCCTAGTTGCTGGTAATGGTATGAGTTGATAACATTTTATATCTTCCAAGGAAGTTGTATATTGGAAAGCAGACGGGAAAGAATTTGGCAGACTGAATTAGCTGTCGTTTGTCACATACAAATGGGATATAAGATTAATATTAAACAATTAAATTTCCACATGCAACTGAATTTCAAAAAAATGATATACATATAATACCTATATATTTCATGTCATATTACTCTAATTTCCTAAGCTTAGGTGTTTGATCACCTTTTGGTATAACTGTTTAAGTAAGTATTCATATTACTGATAATAGTTCACTGTTAATTGAAAAAGATTGAAAAAATGATAATTCTGGCTCTTTTAGGAGAGGCAGAGACTCAGGAGTTCTAGAGTAGAATAAAAAACAGCAACAAAAATAAAAAACACCTCAAAAAAGAATTCAGGAATAGAGATCAAAGAGTGTATCTCTATGGGAGAAAGTGTTGTCAGCCAAGCAGAAGCTGAGAACTTAAAGGGATCTTCAGGTTGCATTTTATTACACAGATCATCCTGAAGTTACACATTCTCCATGAAAAAAATTTCTAAAAATGCAGATAACTTTCGTCTGTACATCATTTGGTAGTTCATAAAGAGTTTTCATATCCATCATCTTGAATTTGAGTCTCATGGTAATTTTGTTAAGTTGATATTAGTCATTCCCATCATATAGTAGCTCATGGTCATACACTCAAAAGTGGCCCCAAAAGAACTAAGTCCACGTGTTCTTGAGTAGTGCTTCTCAAAGTTTAATTGAGATTTGTTAAAACACAGATTGCAATGTAGTAGATACAGGGTAGATTCTGAGACTCTGAACTTTTAACGAGCTCCTAGATAGTGCCAAAATAGCTAGTTCATATGGACCACAGATTGATTAGCAATGTGTAAGGCTAGATATAGTGCTTTTTCTATTACAGTACACTCCCCTCTCCTCTTCCATACCTACTGACATCTGTACCAAACATTTTATTTAAATATATCATATTTTGTGTGCATTCATTTTTTTCTATTTTCTCATGTACAAATATATCAACAAAGTATATGGTAAAGTTTTGTTAATGAGTAAGCAAAATACATTGTAAAAATCTAAAGGGCATAGTCCACGTCAAACAAGCTTTTTATTTCCTAAATAGCTAAGAACATAAAATATATGCAATCTGAAAATCGAAATAAAAATGTTTCCAAATAAAAATTGAGCTGATTGTTTTGACTATCCAGAGAACACAGCTGGTATCTATCCTGTACCATAGTGCAGAAGTAGGACGGAATTCAGGAAAATAGGAAGCAAGTTCTGAACTGAGAAGAGGCTGGGGTTTGAGGCAGAATTGAAAAGACCTGAGAGCATCTCTAAGTAAAACTCAAGATTCATGATTCATGTGAAGCTGAAACTCTCTACCTCTTATTACCCATCTTCTATAGTTTGTCACCTTTATCAATCCTGACATCTGTAATAAAGCAGTGAAATAGATGTTAACATCAAGGTTTCCACCAAGACACAGTGATTCAACAGAAGCTGCATGCCCAAGCGAGTGGGCCCATCACAGTTTTCTGACTCTGGGACTCCTCACCCAGGGCTCCTGACACTCCCTCAACGTTCCGGAACAGTATGGGGCCTGCTTGAGACAAAGATTTCATCCTGACACAAAGACAAAATCCACCCTGCTGAATACAATTTAAAGGGGGTAGTGAGAGGCATAAATTATGTTTCTATTAGAACTTATGAGCCGTGGTTGTTTAAGATATGCTTTATGTAGTCTGGTTGTTTGGGTTCAACTTAGAGGGCTGTTTTGAAAGTACCTTCGACGACGCATAATGAGGACAAATGGGAGATGACGGGAAAAATGGTGATGTTGTGGCCACAGGCACAGGAAAGAGCTTCACGTTTTAGTGAAGTCAGAGAACCAAGTCGTGCTGCCATCATCTCACGCCACAGGGCATGCAGAACTGGTGCAAGAGCCCACAGCTCCTGCTTCTTAGTCTGCTAAGCTAATGTTACTCAGAAGTTTGATTTTAAAATGTTCTAGTAGCTAATAATTTTTAAGTTTATGACCCAAGGTTTTTCTACTTAGAATGGAAATCTGACTTGTTTAAAATGAATGTACCCTTCAGCTCACAAGATAAATTAGCCTTAAAAAGAGATGTTGCCTAAAATGGAGAAATGCTAAAAATATTTACATTTTATGCTTGTATAATCTAGTAGGTACATTGTTCAGAACAATATTATTCTTTCTCTTAGGACAAAAAAAAACCCAAAACATTTTAAAAGCAAAGCATTGATAAATAGTTATTTGACAAGACAATAGTGAAAAAATAAATAACAGATTCATTATTATAGATGCTTTTTGGACAAACCCAACTGTTCCTTTCTGTGGTTCCAAATCATTACTTAAAATATTTATATATTTATCAACTTGGATTTAGAATTAAATTTAGAATTAAGTTCAAGTTGATAAATCTCCTTTTAAGCTTCTATTTTCACACAGATGTATGAAAAATATAAATGTTCAAGGAAAGAAGTATTATTTTCCTAAAGTAGACTTTTTCCATATGTTTAAGGTATCAATCAGCAAGATGATTAAATATAACAAAATTTTCTAATTTTCAGAGGAAATTTGACCATTCAAGTCACTTTCTATTTTTATTTTATCACTATGAAATGCAATATCTATTTGACATGTTGTAACTTATTCTCACACCAATAAGCCATTTTGGGGGAAAGACCATTTCAAAAACATATTTCAACAAATATAATGATGAAAATTCAAGGGAATAAAAAAGACATACTTACACTTAAGATTTAAATTATCAATATTTTAATTAAGGAACACTAGGAAAAATTATCTACACCTTTTCTACGAGGTAGCAATATTAGCATAAAGAGGTTTCACTGTGTAAAATGTTTTATGAGTGAGAGCAGATGGCTGAAGATAACTCTTGTGGACAGCTTTATTTGAAATTTTTTCTTTATGTAAGAAACGAAATAAAATATTAGATTTTATTTGATCTTTTTTCTTGAAAGAAGTTCTTTTGAAAAAAATTTCAATCCATTTTAATTAAAATAGGTACTTCTGAATTTCTTTTTTTTATTTTATTATTATTATACTTTAAGTTTTAGGGTACATGTGCACAATGTGCAGGTTAGTTACATATGTATACATGTGCCATGCTGGTGTGCCGCACCCATTAACTTGTCATTCAGCATTAGGTATATCTCCTAATGCTATCCCTCCCCCCTCCCCCCACCCCAAAACAGTCCCCAGAGTGTGTTTTTCCCCTTCCTGTGTCCATGTGTTCTCATTGTTCAATTCCCATCAATGAGTGAGAACATGCGGAGTTTGGTTTTTTGTCCTTGCAAAAGTTTACTGAGAATGATGATTTCCAATTTCATCCATGTCCTGCAAAGGACATGAACTCATCATTTTTTATGGCTGCATAGTATTCCATGGTGTATATGTGCCACATTTACTTAGTCCAGTCTATCATTGTTGAACATTTGGCTTGGTTCCAAGTCTTTGCTATTATGAATAGTGCCACAATAAACATACGTGTGCATGTGTCTTTATAGCAGCATGATTTATAGACCTTTGGGTATATACCCAGTAATGGGATGGCTGGGTCAAATGGTATTTCTAGGTCTGGATCCCTGAGGAATCGCCACACTGACTTCCACAATGCTTGAACTAGTTTACAGTCCCACCAACAGTGTAAAAGTGTTCCTATTTCTCCACATTCTCTCCAGCACCTGTTGTTTCCTGACTTTTTAATGATTGCCATTCTAACTGGTGTGAGATGGTATCTCATTGTGGTTTTGATTTGCATTTCTCTGATGGCCAGTGATGGTGAGCATTTTTTCATGTGTTTTTTGGCTGAATAAATGTCTTCTTTTAAGAAGTGTCTGTTCATGTCCTTCGCCCACTTTTTGATGGGGTTGTTTTTTTTTCTTGTAAATTTGTTTGAGTTCACTGTAGATTCTGGATATTAGCCCTTTGTCAGATGAGTAGCTTGTGAAAATTTTCTCCCATTTTGTAGGTTGCCTGTTCACTCTGATGGTAGTTTCTTTTGCTGTGCAGAAGCTCTTTAGTTTAATTAGATCCCATTTGTCAATTTTGGCTTTTGTTGCCATTGCTTTTGGTGTTTTAGACATGAAGTCCTTGCCCATGCCTATGTCCTGAATGGTGATGCCTAGGTTTTCTTCTAGGGTTTTTATGGTTTTAGGTCTAACATTTAAGTCTTTAATCCATCTTGAATTAATTTTTGTATAAGGTGTAAGGAAGGGATCCAGTTTCAGCTTTCTACATATGGCTAGCCAGTTTTCCTAGCACCATTTATTAAATAGAGAATCCTTTCCCCATTGCTTGTTTTTCTCAGGTTTGTCAAAGATCAGATAGTTGTAGATATGCAGTGCTATTTCTGAGAGCTCTGTTCTGTTCCATTGATCTATATCTCTGTTTTGGTACCAGTACAATGCTGTTTTGGTTACTGTAGCCTTGTAGTATAGTTTGAAGTCAGGTAGCGTGACACCTCCAGCTTTGTTCTTTTGGCTTAGGATTGACTTGGCGATGCGGGCTCTTTTTTGGTTCCATATAAACTTTAAAGTAGTTTTTTCCAGTTCTGTGAAGAAAGTCATTGGTAGCTTGATGGGGATGGCATTGAATCTATAAATTACCTTGGGCAGTATGGCCATTTTCACAATATTGATTCTTCCTACCCATGAGCATGGAATGTTCTTCCATTTGTTTGTATCCTCTTTTATTTCATTGAGCAGTGGTGTGTAGTTCTCCTTGAAGAGGTCCTTCACGTCCCTTGTAAGTTGGATTCCTAGGTATTTTATTCTCTTTGACACAATTGTGAATGGGAATTCACTCATGATTTGGCTCTCTGTTTGTGTGTTATTGGTGTATAAGAATGCTTGTGACTTTTGTACATTGATTTTGCATCCTGAGACTTTGCTGAAATTGCTTATCAGCTTAAGGAGATTTTGGCCTGAGACAATGGGGTTTTCTAGATATACAATCATGTCATCTGCAAACAGGGACAATTTGACTTCCTCTTTTCCTAATAGAATACCCTTTATTTCCTTCTCCTGCCTAATTGCCCTGGCCAGAACTTCCAGCACTATGTTGAATAGGAGTGGTGAGAGAGGGCATCCCTGTCTTATGCCAGTTTTCAAAGGGAATGCTTCCAGTTTTTGCCCATTCAGTATGATATTGGCTGTGGGTTTGTCATAGATAGCTCTTATTATTTTGAGATATGTCCCATCAATACCTAATTTATTGAGAGTTTTTAGCATGAAGGTTGTTGAATTTTGTCAAAGGCCTTTTCTGCATCTATTGAGATAATCATGTGGTTTTTGTCTTTGGCTCTGTTTATATGCTGGATTACATTTATTGATTTGCGTATATTGAACCAGCCTTGCATCCCAGGGATGAAGCCCACTTGATCATGGTGGATAAGCTTTTTGATGTGCTGCTGGATTCGGTTTGCCAGTATTTTATTGAGGATTTTTGCATCAATGTTCATCAAGGATATTGGTCTAAAATTCTCTTTTTTGGTTGTGTCTCTGCCCGGCTTTGGTATCAGGATGATGCTGGCCTCATAAAATGAGTTAAGGAGAATTCCCTCTTTTTCTATTGATTGGAATAGTTTCAGAAGGAATGGTACCAGTTCCTCCTTATACCTCTGGTAGAATTCGGCTGTGAATCCATCTGGTCCTGGACTCTTTTTGGTTGGTAAGCTATTGATTATTGCCACAATTTCAGAGTCTGTTATTGGTCTATTCAGAGATTCAACTTCTTCCTGGTTTAGTCTTTGGAGGGTGTATGTGTCGAGGAATTTATCCATTTCTTCTAGATTTTCTAGTTTATTTGTGTAGAGGTGTTTGTAGTATTCTCTGATGGTAGTTTGTATTTCTGTGGGATCGGTGGTGATATCCCCTTTATCATTTTTTATTGCATCTATTTGATTCTTCTGTCTTTTCTTTTTTATTACTCTTGCTAGTGGTCTATCAATTTTGTTGATCCTTTCAAAAAACTAGCTCCTGGATTCATTGATTTTTTGAAGGGTTTTTTATGTCTCTATTTCCTTCAGTTCTGCTCTGATCTTAGTTATTTCTTGCCTTCTGCTAGCTTTTGAATGTGTTTGCTCTTGCTTTTCTAGTTCTTTTAATTGTGATGTTAGGGTGTCAATTTTGGATCTTTCCTGCTTTATCTTGTGGGCCTTTAGTGCTATAAATTTCCCTCTACACACTGCTTTGAATGCGTCCCAGAGATTCTGGTATGTTGTGTCTTTGTTCTCGTTGGTTTCTAAGAACATCTTTATTTCTGCCTTCATTTCGTTATGTACCCAGTAGTCATTCAGGAGCAGGTTGTTCAGTTTCCATGTAGTTGAGTGATTTTGAGTGAGTTTCTTCATCCTGAGTTCTAGTTTGATTGAACTGTGGTCTGAGAGACAGTTTGTTATAATTTCTGTTCTTTTACATTTGCTGAGGAGTGCTTTACTTCCAACTATGTGGTCAATTTTGGAATAGGTGTTGTGTGGTGCTGAAAAAAATGTATATTCTGTTGATTTGGGATGGAGAGTTCTGTAGATGTCTATTAGGTCTGCTTGGTGCAGGGCTGAGTTCAATTCCTGGTTATCCTTCTTAACTTTCTGTCTCGTTGACAGTGGGGTGTTAAAGTCTCCCATTATTAATGTGTGGGAGTCTAAGTCTCTTTGTAGGTCACTCAGGACTTGCTTTATGAATCTGGCTGCTCCTGTATTGGGTGCATATATATTTAGGATACTTAGCTCTTCTTGTTGAACTGATCCCTTTACCATTATGTAATGACCTTCTTTGTCTCTTCTGATCTTTGTTGGTTTAAAGTCTGTTTTATCAGAGACTAGGATTGCAACCCCTGCCTTTTTTTGTTTTCCATTTGCTTGGTAGATCTTCCTCCATCCTTTTATTTTGAGCCTATGTGTGTCTCTGCATATGAGATGGGTTTCCTGAATACAGCACAGTGATGGGTCTTGACTCTTTATCCAATTTTCCAGTCTGTGTCTTTTAACTGGAGCATTTAGTCCATTTACATCTAAAGTTAATATTGTTATGTGTGAATTTGATCCTGTCATTATGATATTAGCTGGTTATTTTGCTCGTTAGTTGATGCAGTTTCTTCCTAGCCTCAATGGTCTTTACAATTTGGCATGATTTTGCAGTCGCTGGTACTTGTTGTTCCTTTCCATGTTTAGTGCTTCCTTCAGGAGCTCTTTTAGGGCAGGCCTGGTGGTGACAAAATCTCTCAGCATTTGCTTGTCTGTAAAGTATTTTATTTCTCCTTCACTTATGAAGCTTAGTTTGGCTGGATATGAAATTCTGGGTTGAAAATTATTTTCTTTAAGAATGTTGAATATTGGCCCCCACTCTCTTCTGGCTTGTAGAGTTTCTGCCGAGAGATCCACTGTTAGTCTGATGGGGTTCCCTTTGTGGGTAACCCGACCTTTCTCTCTGGCTGCCCTTAACATTTTTTCCTTCATTTCAACTTTGGTGAATCTGACAATTATGTGTCTTGGAGTTGCTCTTCTCAAGGAGTATCTTTGTGGCATTCTGTGTATTTCCTGAATCTGAATGTTGGCCTGCCTTGCTAGATTGGGGAAGTTCTCCTGGATAATATCCTGCAGAGTGTTTTCCAACTTGGTTCCATTCTCCCCATCACTTTCAGGTACACCAATCAGACAGAGATTTGGTCTTTTCACATAGTCTCATATTTCTTGGAGGCTTTGTTCATTTCTTTTTACTCTTTTTTGTCTAAACTTTCCTTCTCGCTTCATTTAATTCATTTCATCTTCCATCACTGACACCCTTCCTTCCAGTTGATCGCATCGGCTCCTAAGGCTTCTGCATTCTTCACGTAGTTCTCGAGCCTTGGCTTTGAGCTCCATCAGCTCCTTTAAGCACTTCTCTGTATTGGTTATTCTAGTTATACATTCGTCTAAATTTTTTTCAAAGTTTTTAACTTCTTTTCCTTTGGTTTGAATTTCCTCCTGTAGCTCGGAGTAGTTTGATCATCTGAAGCCTTCTTCTCTCAACTCGTCAAAGTCATTCTCCATCCAGCTTTGTTCCGTTGCTGGTGAGGAACTGTGTTCCTTTGGAGGAGGAGAGGTGCTCTGCTTTTTAGAGTTTCCAGTTTTTCTGCTCTGTTTTTTCCCCATCTTTGTGGTTTTATCTACTTTTGGTCTTTGATGATGGTGATGTACAGATGGGTTTTTGGTGTGGATGTCCTTTCTGTTTGTTAGTTTTCCTTCTAACAGACAGGACCCTCAGCTGCAGGTCTGTTGGAGTTTGCTAGAGGTCCACTCCAGACCCTGTTTGCCTGGGTATCAGCAGCGGTGGCTGCAGAAGAGCGGATTTTCGTGAACCGCGAATGCTGCTGTCTGATCTTTCCTCTGGAAGTTTTGTCTCAGAGGAGTACCCGGCCATGTGAGGTGTCAGTCTGCCCCTACTGGGGGGTGCCTCCCAGTTAGGCTGCTCGGGGGTCAGGGTCAGGGACCCACTTGAGGAGGCAGTCTGCCCGTTCTCAGATCTCAAGCTACGTGCTGGGAGAACTACTGCTCTCTTCAAAGCTGTCAGACAGGGACATTTAAGTCTGCAGAGGTTACTGCTGTCTTTTTGTTTGTCTGTGCCCTGCCCCCAGAGGTGGAGCCTACAGAGGCAGGCAGGCCTCCTTGAGCTGTGGTGGGCTCCACCCAGTTCGAGCTTCCTGGCTGCTTTGTTTACCTAAGCAAGCCTGGGCAATGGCAGGTGACCCTCCCTCAGCCTCACTGCTGCCTTGCAGTTTGATCTCAGACTGCTGTGCTAGCAATCGGCGAGACTCCGTGGGCGTAGGACCCTCTGAGCCAGGTGCAGGATATAATCTCCTGGTGGGCTGTTTTTTAAGCCCTTAGGAAATGTGCAGTATTAGGGTGGGAGTGACCCGATTTTCCACGTGCCATCTGTCACCCCTTTCTTTGACTAGGAAAGGGAACTCCCTGACCCCTTGCACTTCCCGACTGAGGCAATGCCTTGCCCTGCTTCAGCTCACGCACAGTGTGCTTCACCCACTGTCCTGCGCCCACTGTCTGGCACTCCCTAGTGAGATGAACCCGGTACCTCAGATGGAAATGCAGAAATCACCCGTCTTCTGCGTTGCTCACGCTGGGAGCTGCAGACCAGAGCTGTTCCTATTCGGCCATCTTGGCTGCCCTTTCCTCCCTGAATTTCTTTATGTAAGCCCTGCTAGATATTATCAGGCATTCATATAAAGCATTTGTCACATCATTGACATCAAGACAAACATCTAGGGAAAAAAGAGTAACATAGGAAACTACAAAAAAATACTGAAATCTAAAATGTACATTTAATAATTAATATAGAAAACAGGAAAGAAGAGAAATTAGTCTGAGCTGCTTTGCTTGAAAATAGCCTCCTTCTAGATTAGTACTCAGTAACTGAATTATTCTACCTCTGATCTGTTCTTTTTATAGATATGAATAATATATTAAACCTACTTTAAGTTGATGTTATCTTTCAGAGCTAAAGCTATTGTATCTTGATCAAATATCATCAATCAGCATAGAGTGAATCTTTTGTATAGGTGACACCTAGTTAATCATCTGACAAATATGCCTCTCCAGCTGTTACTTATTTATTAATTCAAACTTCAATATGACAAAGGAATTTCTATACTGACTCATACATTTTAATATGTGGGATTATTTTACTTTTCACTTGCTGCTTGGAAGGGCAATAACAGAAGAGTATATGGAAGAAACTTATAGCTCCTCTTTAGTACCATACTTAGCACAGGTGTCTTATATTTAGCATAGGTGTCTTCAATCTCCTGACTCAACTCCACCTCTACATTACATTTCTTCCTTCCTTCTTTCCATCTTTCCTTTCTTTCTCTCTTTTTATCTCTCTCCTTCTCTTCCTCTCTCCTGCCTTCCTTTCTTTCAAAATCAAATACATGGCTGAGCACTTTCAGAAACTTGACTTTGGAATTAGAAAGGTAGCAAAAAAGTCTTGAAAAGAGCGCTCAGTTTAAAAATCACAAGGAGATACCAATTGAAGTTCTATCGTTTACCAACTGTGTGATTCTGGCCTGGTCCTCTGTTTCCTCATGTGTAAAATGGAAAGAACAAATTTTTGTCATAAATATTAAAAAAGCTGTACCTGAAAATACTCTTGAAACCTTTATTATAATATTAAGGGTGTTGCATTTGTCTACCAAAATGCCTGCACTTGTCACTATTAAAACTTACTTTCAAATAAAATCAGAAGGGGAAAATGTATTTTGAGATTCATAATTAAAATTTCTTATATGTCTTAATGTATTGTCTGGGAAGGGTAAACTATTCACTTACCAACATGTTAGGAGTGACTTTTTATCAGTTTAGAGTAAAGAGATTTTGGATGAATAAAACAGAAAGAGTGAGTGTTGATGGAAGAGTGGAAAGGAAGAAAAAGATAGAGAAAAGTTAAACCAAGGCAAGAAGTTTGAGCACCATGAGAATACTCGGTTAAGGAAACCTGGGAAGAAAAAACAAAAGGGTCGGGGGGGGGTTCCCAAAAACTTATGCCTTGATTACATGTCACCTCTCACAATATGCTGTAGTTTCTTGTTTATGTATGCGTCTTCCTGATTGAAATATAAGCACTTGATTGCAAGACTTATATTTCCTAACCTTGTATTACTGTACATAATTGGCAAACAAAAACTGAGTAAATCAATGAAGAAAAGTCTGTTTCAATTTTTTTGAGACCTGTCCTTTCATCCACCTGTCCATCCTTTCATCCTTCTTCCCCTGTTGCCTTCCAACCTTCAGACACTTATTGAGCAAGTACTAAGAATGGGCACTGCAGGTAAGTGCTGTCAGTTAAGAGGGAGGAAAGTCCTACATAAATTTGAAATTTTCAATATCAGATAACAGCATTTTATCTGAATTTTATTGTAATTGTTAATATGGATTGCATTAAAGATTTGTTATCCTGTAATGCAAAATTGAAGCTGTAATACAAAAGAATAATTTTCTTCAACAAGTTATACAATTGTTGATAAGTATTAAACATGGTTTGAGAGTGACAGTTTTTCTTTTCCAGTTAATAGTTTCAAAAGACTCATCTCAGGGAATTTTGAAAGTTGAAAGTTTCTAACCTATAATGTCAGATAGTTTACTTCCTGGGGCCATGGGAGATGTGTGTGCGTGTGTGTGTGTGTGTGTGTGTGTGTGTTACATTTTGCTTTCTTGGTGGAAGGGTGGGTTGGTGTGTTTGGCTGCTCCCTACAGCTCTTTGGATGATATTTGTTAAGTGTGGTTAGGAGCCCTTCGCAGTAAAATTTGTTTCCAGTGACTATGATAGATGGAGAAATGTCTGCAGCTTGGACAGATGCCAACATTGTGCCTTTCTTTAAGACAGCAATGAATGACTCTGGGTCTGAGTCAGTTTAACTGGTATGCCTGGGAAAATGTTTGAACAAATTATGATAAAATCAATCTTCAAATGCTTCTAAAAGAATATGGCTTTTTGAAGAACAAAGCCTAGAAAACTAATCTCTTCTGCCAATTCTGAGGTCAGAGTGACAGGAGCTTAGTAGATTGTAAAGATATATTAAAATTTGACTTTATAAGGATTTTGAATCTTCATGCATGACACCACCAACTCATACGAAAAATAATGGAGGTGAGCCCAGGAAACAGAGGCATGTCTTCCTACACAGGGCTCCAGTGAAATTATACTGTGATATCAACAAAGACTGCATGTGGGACATCTGACAGTAGAGAAAATGGGTCCCAGTCAGCCATGACCCTCTATTATTACATAGTAAGCACCAGACTAAAAAGTAACCGTCCTAAATTTAAAAACTCTCCTTTGACCCCACTTCCTCCTCTGGCTCCATTTTTCTGATTCCATTTATATAAAATTCCTTAAAAAAGTTATCCATAATCACTGTCTCCAGTTCCTGTTCCTCCATTGCTGGACCAGTTGCATAATTTGCAGGGTCCAGTGCAAAATAAAAGTGTAAGACCCTTGTTGAAAATTGTTATGAATTTCAAGACAGTGAGAGCAGAGCATTAATCTCAGTGTGGCCTCTTCTAAGCATGGGGCCTTGGAGCTGGCCCTGCTCCATTGTCTTCTGAGCCCACCCCAATCAGGCGTTCATCCTCCACCAATTCTACTAAGTAAAATATTTTTCTCGATGTCTGTACTGATTTCCATAGAATAAATCTAAAAGTCAATTCTCCCGTTCATCTTACCGGATCCATTAATGATATTTAGCAGTGATTACTGCGTTTTTGTTGAAGCACTGTCTTCACCCAGTTCCAGAACTCACTTCTGTTCTCCATCTACCTCACTGGACACTGCTCCCTTTAGTCTTGTCTTCCGGTTCCTCATTGTGGTAGGTTGAATATCGGCCCCCCAAAGGTGAGGGGAGAAGAACCTGTGATTGTGTTACCTTACGTGATAAAAAGGGATTGGTACATATGGTTCAGTTAAGATCTGGGGATAGGGATTATCCAAGTGGGCCCAGTGGAATCACAAAGTGGATCAAAGTCAGTAGTAAGAGATGTGTTGACAGAAATAAGAGATTGGAGTAACATGAGAAAAGAGCCGTGAGTCAAAGATGCAAGCAGCTTTTACAAGCTGAAAATGTCAAGAAACTAAACTCTCCCTTGAAGCCTCTAAAAGGAACACCATTCTGAAACCCTGACGAGACCTTGATTTTAAACATCCGACCTCCAGAATTGTAAGGAAAAAAAAAACTGGTATTGTTTTAAGCCACTAAATGTATGGTAATTCGTTACAGAAGCAAGAGTAAACTAATATACTCCTCGCCAAAGAAACTCTACACATTGGCCTGCCCCAGGGCTCATCCCTAGGACCTCTCACCTTCTCTGTCTATGCCAACCCCTAGGATACCTCACCAATTTCAAGGCTTTAAGGTGCCAGCTAAACACTGATGACTCCCAAATTTATATTTCTGGATCAGGGTTCCCTAAACTCCAGATTCTGTTGGCTATAGCCAACAGCTCACTTGCCATTTTCATTTAAGTGTCTAAAAGGCATCTCAAATTTAACATATCCTCCAATGCACAGTCCTTCTGTTAACTTCCCTATATCAGTAAATGGCAGCTCCAGCTCAATTCTTCCAGTTTCATGGGCCAAAAACCTCAGTTATCCTCGATGCCTCTCTTTTTCTCACACTCCACATCATATCTGTCAGGGAATCATGTCTGCTGAACCTCCAAAATAAATCCAATCTGATAATAAATCTGACACTTCTCACCACTTCCCCGGCTACCACTCAGGGTAGAGCCAACATCATGGCTCACCTGGAATATTTCACCAGCCTCAAACTGTTCTCCCAGCTTCTAACCTTGGCCCCCCACAACCTAGGTTCAACCCAGCAGCCAAAGTGATTCTCTTACAATATTTTCAATGTCATATCTCTTCTCTTAAAACCCTATAATGACTTTCCATTTCACTCAAGAGGCATAACCCTTACAGTGACCTAGATGTTCTTTATAATCTGGTTCTTCTGCTACTTCTATAACCTCCTCTCCTACCACTCTAACTCACTCACTCTGCTCCCATATCAGATTCATTGCTCCTTCTAGAACATTCTCAAGAGAGCTCTTGCCTCAAGGCCTTTACAATTGTTTTTTCTTCTACCTTAAATGGAAACACAGATATCTACATTACTCACTCCTTCACTTGTTTCATGTTCTCAGCTCAAATATTATGTTATTATTGGAATGGTCCCTAAATACTTTCTCCCACTCAACTCCCTTTCTTACCTTGCTTTGTTTACCTCCATAGCTCTATCACTCTGTAACATATACATTTAAACATTTGCTTATTTATTGTTTGATTCCTACTACTAGAATGTGAGCTCTATTAAGGCAAGTACATGCTTTTGATTCTCTAATAAGTTCTCAGTGCTAGAACAGTAACTAGGTAATACTAGGCACTTGATAAATACCTGTTGAATGAAATTAATGAGTAATGGCACAAGACTAGGAGTGTTGGATGCATCGTTTGCCAATATCTAACTAATGTATCAGTGAAGATCCGTGAATAAACCACAGCCCAAGCCCACATTTTGAAATGAAAATTTAAAAAACTATTAGTAAATTCCAAAATGCCCCCTAAGCAACCTAAGTATCCATCAACAGATGATTGAATAAAGAAAATCTGGTATATCTTCACAATGGAAAACTATTCACCCATAAAAAAGTCTTCTGCAGTGACATGGATGGAATTGGAGGCCATTAAGTGAAACAATTCAGAAACAGAATATCAAATACTGCTATTCTTGCTTCTTACTGGGAGCTAAATAATATATACACGTGGACATGAAGTATGGAATGATAGACATTGAAGACTCAGAAGGATGAGAGGGTGCGAGGAAGTGAGGAGTGAGAAGTTATTTAATGGATACAATGCACATTATTTGATTATAGTTATACCAAAAGCCCAGACTTAACTACTATACAAGATATCTATGTAAAAAAAACTGCACTTGTACACCTTAAATTTATATCAAAAATAGGCAGTGTGTGACCACTGTGACCCAGGGACTGTCTTAATTAGAAAATCAGCTAGTCTTCCTTTTCCTCCAAACACACACTTCATGGCACAGCTATCTTCTAAACCCAGGTACTTTCAACTGGGGATGATTTTGCCTCCAAGAGAACATTTGCAGTGTCTGGAGACATTTTTGTTTGTCACAGCCAGAGGAAAGATGTTACTAACATCTAGTGGATAGAGACCAGAGATGCTGCTAATCATCCCGCAATTCACAAGACACTCCCTACGAGTAATTATCCAGCCTAAAATGTCAACAGTTCAGACTATGTATTCTGCTATTGTTGGGTAGAGTGTTTTTAAAACATCAATTAGGTCACTGTATTAGTCCATTTTCACACTGCTGTTAAAGACATACCTGAAACTGAGAAGATAAAGAGGTTTAATTGGACTTACAGTTCCATATGGCTGGGGAGGCCTCAGAAACATGGCGGGAGGTGAAAGACACTTCTTATATGGTGGTGGCAAGAAAAAATGAGGAAGATTCAAACGCAGAAACCCTGATAAAACCATCAGATCTCGTGAGACATATTCACTACCACAAAAACAGTATGGGGGAAACTGCCCTCATGATTCAAATTATCTCCCACTGGGTCCCTCCCACAACACGTGGGAATTATGGGAGTACAAGTCAAGATGAGATTTGGGTGGGGACACAGCTAAACCATGTCAGTCACATTGATCAGTAGTGTTACTTCAGGCTTCCATATGCTTACTGATTTTCTTTTTACTGCACTTTCAGCTATGGAGAGATGGGTGTTAAGTTTTTCAACTATAATTAGAGATCTATTTTTTTTTGTAGTTCTATTTGCTTTTTTTCCCCCATATCTTGAAACTCTTATTAATATATAAACATTTAGGATTTTTATGTCTTCTGGTTGAAGTCACCCTTTCCTCATTATCAAAGGACTCTCTCTGTTGTTGGCAAGATTCTGAAATCTACTTTGTCTGTTATAAGCCACTCTAGCTTTCCTTTGATTAGTGTTAGGATGGTTTATTTCTTTACATCCTTTTACTTTTGGTGTTATTTGCATTTTTATATATAAAGTGGGTTTATTAAAGATGGTATGTAGTTGGGCCTTTTTTTCTTTCTCCAGGCTAATAGTCTCTTCCATTTAATTGTGGTACTTATACCATTTAAAATTAATATGATTATCAATATGATTAGGTTTAAATCTACTATCATGATATTTGCTTTCTATTTGCCTCATCTCTTCTTTTGTTACTTTAATCTTTTTCTATCTTTTTGGTGGCGGCAGGCGAGGAAGAAGGATGAGTCTTCTTTATAGTCCCATGTGGTGGGAAGGATTCTAAGATGGCTCCCAAGACAGCTACCATCTAGCGTACATATGCTGCACATTGCTCTTCCTTTGAGTGTAGGAAGGATTTGTTAATATGATGGAATTTCAGTCTCATGACTATGTTATACTACCTGGAAAAGATAAAGAGATTTTTCTGTAATTAAGGTCTCTAATCAGTTGACTGAACTAATTAAAAGGATTATCTTTAGAAGAACTGACCTAATCAGGCTAGTGTTTTGTAGAAGGCCCAGGCCACCCTTCAGAAGGAGACTAGAAGTAAGAGGGATTGTCCTGCTGGCCTTGATGATGTAAGCTCACATGATGTGAGAGGGCCTATGAGAGACCAACACAGCAAGGATGTGAGGGCAGCTCTAGGAGTTGAGAGTGGTCTGCTATAGTCTGACTGCTATAGTCTGACTGTTTGTGTCCCCCTAAAATTCCTCTGTTAAAATTCTAACACCCAAGATGTTGGTGTTAGGAGATGGGGCCTTCAGAAGGTGATTAGGTCATGATGGTGGAGCCCTCATTTATGAGATTAGTTCCCTTACGAAATAAGTTAAAGAGAGACCCCTCGCCCATTCCACAATGTGAGAACACAGTGAGAAGATGCCGTCTATGAACTAAAAAGCCTCACCAGACACTGAATCTGCCAGCAACTTGATCTTGGACTTCCTGGCTTCCAGAAATGTAAGAAGAAATTAATTTCTGCTGTTTATTAGATACCCAATTTACGGTGTTTTGTTATAGCAGCTCAAACTAAGATACTGACCAATAGGTACTAACTCATACAACTGCAAAAAATATAAGGACCTTAGAATATAAATGAAATCTGCCAATAATCTGAATGAGCCTGGAAACAAACCTTCCCTAATCAAACCTCCAAATGAGAATGCAGCCTTGCCAGCCCCTTGATTTCAGCCACGTGGGATCCTGAGCAAAGGATTCAAGCTAAGCTGTGCTCAAATTACTGACCCACAGAAACTATGGGATAATAAATGTATGTTGTTTGAGGTACTAATACATTAACAACTCAGACACAGAAAGGCAGAGCTACTTGCTGAAGTTTATAGGTCCTAACGACAAAGCCAAGATTGAAACCCAGGCTGTCTGTCCACAGAGGCCTCATCCTTAACCATTAAGGTACACTCTCTCTTTGTACCAGTTATCAATAGATTAATCCAGTTTTGTAGAAAGTTCAGAAATATACCTAAGTGTTACACAGTTATGAGACAGAAGTGGCTTTTGAATTACTGGGACATCAACTTGTCATCTTTTGTCCAATCAAAAGATAAGCCCCTGTCCTGTACAACTTTGGCTCTGTCTCCAAGATGACCTGATTGCTTCCTTCATCTCAGACTTTTTCAAAATGACTTCTAAAAACCTAAGTCTACAACAACTCTCAGGTCATTATTCTTCATGCCCCTGCAAATACTTGTCTTTATGCTATTTTTGAGCCTTCTATCCCTCTGTATCATTGTCACCTGCCAAAAATCTAGTTAATATATCCATCTTCCCATTTTAGAACATGCTACTTTAACTTTCTGGCTGAACTCCAGACCCTCAAAAGTGGGATCCTTGTCTTTGTAACCACAGTCCTAGACATAATATAGATGTTCATAAACATATGTCAACAGATTAAATTAATGGCTTAAAAAAGTAATTCCTCCAAGAGTCACAAATTCTACTATATATACTGTATATCTGCTATTACCTTTGAACAGCATCATCCTTATCTACTGAACTGGGAGTGATTTCTTCCCACAGACAAAACAAAGCAGCCTTTTGGGACACAAACCAATGGAAGGCTGTTGCCTTTAGGTGTCTTGGCTCCAGATAATAATTTGCTGATTCACTAACAAATTATAATATACATTAGAATGATTTTTTTCTTCTGTACCTTGTACATTCACACAGAGGGAAAATTGTATACAGTAAATGCTGACACAGATAAAAACATGGATGTTTCAAGCAGTAAGGATGCTTACACTCAGAATAAAATAGAGTTTTTTTGTTGTTGTTTTCTTTTTTTTAGAGACAGGTCCTCACTCTGTCACTCAGGCTGGAGTGCAGTGGCACAATCAGCTCACAGTAACCTTGAACCCCCGGGCTCAAGTGGCCCTCCCACTTCAGCCTCACAACTAGCTGAGACTACAGGAACAGGCCACCTCCCCTGGCTAATTATTATTATTATTTGTAGAGATGGGATTTTGCTGTGTCGCCCAGGCTGATTTAAAACTCCTGGCCTCAAGCAATCCTTCCACCTCAGCCTCCCAAGATTACAAGCGTAAGCCACCATGCCTGGCTCAGAGTACAGTTTTAATATCCAAATTTCCAAGCATTCACCCATATACTCTAAGATAAAAGAGGGTAATAGTGAAAGTGTTTAGGTATTATTTTGTCTTTATTCTATAAGTCAAGTAATACATTCTAATTTCATATTACTTGAGAATAAGAAAATATTTATAAAGTTCCATAAAGCAGACTTTTTGAGGTAAATAAATTTATTAGCATTTTACAGATGAAGAAACCTAGGCTTATAGAAGAGGTGTGAATCCACGACCACACAGAAAACAGCAGAACTGAGACTAAGCCTAGATCTAACAGCATATCCATGATCGATTGCAATTTAGCTATGCCCTGTCCCCACATCAAGACAATAGGAACACCGGAGCAGGGTCTGGGCTATAGGGCTGCCCTCTGGGGAACCAGGGGGAGCCTGGTGGTAGGGTGTCTTTGCATGGCTGTGCCTTCCAGCCCTGAGTGCAGCAACTGAGAGCTGGCATCATTAAGAGAACCAGCGACTGAAAGTTGGGCAGAACATCCAATCAAGTTGTGGGTATGGAAGGGCTCTACAGAGGTGGAGAGCAGGGCAAAATCTGGAGAAATTAGGTAAGAATAGAAGTTCCAAGCATGAAATATGAGGCCAAGCCTAGAGAATATCCTAGGCCTGGAGAACATGGCACTTCATTATAGGCAGCTACCTCCCATACCAGTGAGGAGATAGTGTCAAGGATCAGCTACAGCTCAAATTGCTGCTCCCTCTCTGCCATGGCTCCCCATGCAGGTGAAATGCATTCCTCTTCACAGCCTCAAGAAGACCACACTCCCTAAGGCAGGAAATGGGGAAAGTCAGATTTTTTTGTCTATGTTCAGCTACCGTAGAGGAAAAGGTAAAAAATTATAGACTGAGAAAGGAGGGGAAGTAATACTCTCAACACGTATTTACTGGCAAATTGTAAATGAACAGTTGGTGAACTCATCAACACAGGGAATGCAGCTCTGAATCTTGTGTCAATGTTTTCCCCTAAATCAGCTCTCATAACTCATCGCATATTACATCCTTCCACCTAATGAAATTGAACTCATCAAGGGTGAATTCAAGTATTTTAGGGAGAACCATCCAATTTATTTGCAATGGTAAATTGGTGTGGGATTTATTTGCATGGCTACCACTCAATTTCAACTTGGGTATCACTGGCCTGCAACCAGCTCTGTTTCAAAACATTGTTTGAAACTAGGTTAGATGAGATTTCATGGCAGTGGGGTCATCGTCTACCTGTCTGTTTGGGGATTTTAGGTTTTCTGATAAGTCGACAAACATTTCATGTCTAGTGTATCTGATTCTCACCCTTCTGCATAATATACAGTTCCCTCAGTTAGAACAACATGGCACTGTCTTTGTGTTAGGCAGGTTATATAACCATTAACATTTCATTTTATAAATAAAAATTTTGCTAACACTCTAGCTCAACAAACACTTCCATGCTCAGAAAGGAAACAAAATAGGATAATATATACTAGATGTGGAAGAACTTTGATATTGTGTGTGGGGAAAAGCAAGAGAGATCAGATTGTTACTGTGTCTGTGTAGAAAGAAGTAGACATAGGAGACTCCATTTTGTTATGTACTAAGAAAAATTCTTCTGCCTTGAGATTCTGTTAATCTATAACCTTACCCCCAACCCCGTGCTCTCTGAAACGTGTGCTGTGTCAACTCAGAGTTGAATGGATTAAGGGCGGTGCAGGATGTGCTTTGTTAAACAGATGCTTGAAGGCAGCATGCTCCTTAAGAGTCATCACCACTCCCTAATCTCAAGTACCCAGGGACACAAAAACTGCGGAAGGCCGCAGGGACCTCTGCCTAGGAAAGCCAGGTATTGTCCAAGGTCTCTCCCCATGTGATAGTCTGAAATATGGCCTCGTGGGAAGGGAAAGACCTGACCGTCCCCCAGCCCGACACCCGTAAAGGGTCTGTGCTGAGGAGGATTAGTAAAAGAGGAAGGAATGCCTCTTGCAGTTGAGACAAGAGGAAGGCATCTGTCTCCTGCCTGTCCCTGGGCAATGGAATGTCTCGGTATAAAACCCGATTGTATGCTCCATCTACTGAGATAGGGAAAAACCGCCTTAGGGCTGGAGGTGGGACCTGCGGGCAGCAATACTGCTTTGTAAAGCATTGAGATGTTTATGTGTATGCATATCTAAAAGCACAGCACTTAATCCTTTACATTGTCTATGATGCAAAGACCTTTGTTCACGTGTTTGTCTGCTGACCCTCTCCCCACAATTGTCTTGTGACCCTGACACATCCCCCTCTTTGAGAAACACCCACAGATGATCAATAAATACTAAGGGAACTCAGAGGCTGGCAGGATCCTCCATATGCTGAACGCTGGTTCCCCGGTTCCCCTTATTTCTTTCTCTATACTTTGTCTCTGTGTCTTTTTCTTTTCCAAATCTCTCGTCCCACCTTATGAGAAACACCCACAGGTGTGTAGGGGCAACCCACCCCTACATCTGGTGCCCAACGTGGAGGCTTTTCTCTAGGGTGAAGGTACGCTCGAGCGTGGTCATTGAGGACAAGTCGACGAGAGATCCCGAGTACGTCTACAGTCAGCCTTACGGTAAGCTTGTGTGCTCGGAAGAAGCTAGGGTGATAATGGGGCAAACTAAAAGTAAAATTAAAAGTAAATATGCCTCTTATCTCAGCTTTATTAAAATTCTTTTAAAAAGAGGGGGAGTTAAAGTATCTACAAAAAATCTAATCAAGCTATTTCAAATAATAGAACAATTTTGCCCATGGTTTCCAGAACAAGGAACTTTAGATCTAAAAGATTGGAAAAGAATTGGTAAGGAACTAAAACAAGCAGGTAGGAAGGGTAATATCATTCCACTTACAGTATGGAATGATTGGGCCATTATTAAAGCAGCTTTAGAACCATTTCAAACAGAAGAAGATAGCATTTCAGTTTCTGATGCCCCTGGAAGCTGTTTAATAGATTGTAATGAAAAGACAAGGAAAAAATCCCAGAAAGAAACGGAAGGTTTACATTGTGAATATGTAGCAGAGCCGGTAATGGCTCAGTCAACGCAAAATGTTGACTATAATCAATTACAGGAGGTGATATATCCTGAAACGTTAAAATTAGAAGGAAAAGGTCCAGAATTAGTGGGGCCATCAGAGTCTAAACCATGAGGCACAAGTCCTCTTCCAGCAGGTCAGGTGCCCGTAAGATTACAACCTCAAACGCAGGTTAAAGAAAATAAGACCCAACCGCCAGTAGCTTATCAATACTGGCCGCCGGCTGAACTTCAGTATCGGCCACCCCCAGAAAGTCAGTATGGATATCCAGGAATGCCCCCAGCACCACAGGGCAGGGCGCCATACCCTCAGCCACCCACTAGGAGACTTAATCCTACGGCACCACCTAGTAGACAGGGTAGTGAATTACATGAAATTATTGATAAATCAAGAAAGGAAGGAGATACTGAGGCATGGCAATTCCCAGTAACGTTAGAACCGAAGCCACCTGGAGAAGGAGCCCAAGAGGGAGAGCCTCCCACAGTTGAGGCCAGATACAAGTCTTTTTCGATAAAAATGCTAAAAGATATGAAAGAAGGAGTAAAACAGTATGGACCCAACTCCCCTTATATGAGGACATTATTAGATTCCATTGCTCATGGACATAGACTCATTCCTTATGATTGGGAGATTCTGGCAAAATCGTCTCTCTCACCCTCTCAATTTTTACAATTTAAGACTTGGTGGATTGATGGGGTACAAGAACAGGTCCGAAGAAATAGGGCTGCCAATCCTCCAGTTAACATAGATGCAGATCAACTATTAGGAATAGGTCAAAATTGGAGTACTATTAGTCAACAAGCATTAATGCAAAATGAGGCCATTGAGCAAGTTAGAGCTATCTGCCTTAGAGCCTGGGAAAAAATCCAAGACCCAGGAAGTACCTGCCCCTCATTTAATACAGTAAGACAAGGTTCAAAAGAGCCCTATCCTGATTTTGTGGCAAGGCTCCAAGATGTTGCTCAAAAGTCAATTGCCGATGAAAAAGCCCGTAAGGTCATAGTGGAGTTGATGGCATATGAAAACGCCAATCCTGAGTGTCAATCAGCCATTAAGCCATTAAAAGGAAAGGTTCCTGCAGGATCAGATGTAATCTCAGAATATGTAAAAGCCTGTGATGGAATCGGAGGAGCTATGCATAAAGCTATGCTTATGGCTCAAGCAATAACAGGAGTTGTTTTAGGAGGACAAGTTAGAACATTTGGAGGAAAATGTTATAATTGTGGTCAAATTGGTCACTTAAAAAAGAATTGCCCAGTCTTAAACAAACAGAATATAACTATTCAAGCAACTACAACAGGTAGAGAGCCACCTGACTTATGTCCAAGATGTAAAAAAGGAAAACATTGGGCTAGTCAATGTCGTTCTAAATTTGATAAAAATGGGCAACCATTGTCGGGAAACGAGCAAAGGGGCCAGCCTCAGGCCCCACAACAAACTGGGGCATTCCCAATTCAGCCATTTGTTCCTCAGGGTTTTCAGGGACAACAACCCCCACTGTCCCAAGTGTTTCAGGGAATAAGCCAGTTACCACAATACAACAATTGTCCCCCGCCACAAGCGGCAGTGCAGCAGTAGATTTATGTACTATACAAGCAGTCTCTCTGCTTCCAGGGGAGCCCCCACAAAAAATCCCCACAGGGGTATATGGCCCCCTGCCTGAGGGGACTGTAGGACTAATCTTGGGAAGATCAAGTCTAAATCTAAAAGGAGTTCAAATTCATACTAGTGTGGTTGATTCAGACTATAAAGGCAAAATTCAATTGGTTATTAGCTCTTCAATTCCTTGGAGTGCCATTCCAGGAGACAGGATTGCTCAATTATTACTCCTGCCATATATTAAGGGTGGAAATAGTGAAATAAAAAGAATAGGAGGGCTTGTAAGCACTGATCCAACAGGAAAGGCTGCATATTGGGCAAGTCAGGTCTCAGAGAACAGACCTGTGTGTAAGGCCATTATTCAAGGAAAACAGTTTGAAGGGTTGGTAGACACTGGAGCAGATGTCTCTATCATTGCTTTAAATCAGTGGCCAAAAAATTGGCCTAAACAAAAGGCTGTTACAGGACTTGTCGGCGTAGGCACAGCCTCAGAAGTGTATCAAAGTACTGAGATTTTACATTGCTTAGGGCCAGATAATCAAGAAAGTACTGTTCAGCCAATGATTACTTCAATTCCTCTTAATCTGTGGGGTCGAGATTTATTACAACAATGGGGTGCGGAAATCACCATGCCCGCTCCATTATATAGCCCCACGAGTCAAAAAATCATGACCAAGATGGGATATATACCAGGAAAGGGACTAGGGAAAAATGAAGATGGCATTAAAATTCCAGTTGAGGCTAAAATAAATCAAAAAAGAGAAGGAATAGGGTATCCTTTTTAGGGGCGGCCACTGTAGAGCCTCCTAAACCCATACCATTAACTTGGAAAACAGAAAAACCGGTGTGGGTAAATCAGTGGCCGCTACCAAAACAAAAACTGGAGGCTTTACATTTATTAGCAAATGAACAGTTAGAAAAGGGTCATATTGAGCCTTCGTTCTCACCTTGGAATTCTCCTGTGTTTGTAATTCAGAAGAAATCAGGCAAATGGCGTATGTTAACTGACTTAAGGGCTGTAAACGCCGTAATTCAACCCATGGGGCCTCTCCAACCTGGGTTGCCATCTCCAGCCATGATCCCAAAAGATTGGCCTTTAATTATAATTGATCTAAAGGATTGCTTTTTTACCATCCCTCTGGCAGAGCAGGATTGTGAAAAATTTGCCTTTACTATACCAGCCATAAATAATAAAGAACCAGCCACCAGGTTTCAGTGGAAAGTGTTACCTCAGGGAATGCTTAATAGTCCAACTATTTGTCAGACTTTTGTAGGTCGAGCTCTTCAACCAGTTAGAGAAAAGTTTTCAGACTGTTATATTATTCATTATATTGATGATATTTTATGTGCTGCAGAAACGAAAGATAAATTAATTGACTGTTATACATTTCTGCAGGCAGAGGTTGCCAATGCTGGACTGGCAATAGCATCTGATAAGATCCAAACCTCTACTCCTTTTCATTATTTAGGGATGCAGATAGAAAATAGAAAAATTAAGCCACAAAAAATAGAAATAAGAAAAGACACATTAAAAGCACTAAATGATTTTCAAAAATTACTAGGAGATATTAATTGGATTCGGCCAACTCTAGGCATTCCTACTTATGCCATGTCAAATTTGTTCTCTATCTTAAGAGGAGACTCAGACTTAAATAGTAAAAGAATGTTAACCCCAGAGGCAACAAAAGAAATTAAATTAGTGGAAGAAAAAATTCAGTCAGCGCAAATAAATAGAATAGATCCCTTAGCCCCACTCCAACTTTTGATTTTTGCCACTGCACATTCTCCAACAGGCATCATTATTCAAAATACTGATCTTGTGGAGTGGTCATTCCTTCCTCACAGTACAGTTAAGACTTTTACACTGTACTTGGATCAAATAGCTACATTAATTGGTCAGACAAGATTACGAATAATAAAATTATGTGGAAATGACCCAGACAAAATAGTTGTCCCTTTAACCAAGGAACAAGTTAGACAAGCCTTTATCAATTCTGGTGCATGGCAGATTGGTCTTGCTAATTTTGTGGGAATTATTGATAATCATTACCCAAAAACAAAGATCTTCCAGTTCTTAAAATTGACTACTTGGATTCTACCTAAAATTACCAGACGTGAACCTTTAGAAAATGCTCTAACAGTATTTACTGATGGTTCCAGCAATGGAAAAGCAGCTTACACAGGGCCGAAAGAACGAGTAATCAAAACTCCATATCAATCGGCTCAAAGAGCAGAGTTGGTTGCAGTCATTACAGTGTTACAAGATTTTGATATCAATATTATATCAGATTCTGCCTATGTAGTACAGGCTACAAGGGATGTTGAGACAGCTCTAATTAAATATAGCATGGATGATCAGTTAAACCAGCTATTCAATTTATTACAACAAACTGTAAGAAAAAGAAATTTCCCATTCTATATTACTCATATTCGAGCACACACTAATTTACCAGGGCCTTTGACTAAAGCAAATAAACAAGCTGACTTACTGGTATCATCTGCACTCATAAAAGCACAAGAACTTCATGCTTTGACTCATGTAAATGCAGCAGGATTAAAAAACAAATTTGATGTCACATGGAAACTGGCAAAAGATATTGTACAACATTGCACCCAGTGTCAAGTCTTACACCTGCCCACTCAAGAGGCAGGAGTTAATCCCAGAGGTCTGTGTCCTAATGCATTATGGCAAATGGATGTCACGCATGTACCTTCATTTGGAAGATTATCATATGTTCATGTAACAGTTGAT
Organism: Homo sapiens; assembly: GCF_000001405.40. Lineage (NCBI taxonomy): Eukaryota > Metazoa > Chordata > Mammalia > Primates > Hominidae > Homo > Homo sapiens. Next base: position 101,700,948 of record NC_000011.10, read on the forward strand.
ACTTATTCACATTTCATATGGGCAACTTGCCACACAGGAGAAAGTACTTCCCATGTTAAAAAACACTTATTGTCTTGTTTTGCTGTAATGGGAGTTCCAGAAAAAATCAAAACTGACAATGGACCAGGATATTGTAGTAAAGCTTTCCAAAAATTCTTAAGTCAGTGGAAAATTTCACATACAACAGGAATTCCTTATAATTCCCAAGGACAGGCCATAGTTGAAAGAACTAATAGAACACTCAAAACTCAATTAGTTAAACAAAAAGAAGGGGGAGACAGTAAGGAGTGTACCACTCCTCAGATGCAACTTAATCTAGCACTCTATACTTTAAATTTTTTAAACATTTATAGAAATCAGACTACTACTTCTGCAGAACAACATCTTACTGGTAAAAAGAACAGCCCACATGAAGGAAAACTAATTTGGTGGAAAGATAATAAAAATAAGACATGGGAAATAGGGAAGGTGATAACGTGGGGGAGAGGTTTTGCTTGTGTTTCACCAGGAGAAAATCAGCTTCCTGTTTGGATACCCACTAGACATTTGAAGTTCTACAATGAACCCATCAGAGATGCAAAGAAAAGCACCTCCGCGGAGACGGAGACACCGCAATCGAGCACCGTTGACTCACAAGATGAACAAAATGGTGACGTCAGAAGAACAGATGAAGTTGCCATCCACCAAGAAGGCAGAGCCGCCAACTTGGGCACAACTAAAGAAGCTGACGCAGTTAGCTACAAAATATCTAGAGAACACAAAGGTGACACAAACCCCAGAGAGTATGCTGCTTGCAGCCTTGATGATTGTATCAATGGTGGTAAGTCTCCCTATGCCTGCAGGAGCAGCTGCAGCTAACTATACCTACTGGGCCTATGTGCCTTTCCCGCCCTTAATTCGGGCAGTCACATGGATGGATAATCCTATAGAAGTATATGTTAATGATAGTGTATGGGTACCTGGCCCCATAGATGATCGCTGCCCTGCCAAACCTGAGGAAGAAGGGATGATGATAAATATTTCCATTGGGTATCGTTATCCTCCTATTTGCTTAGGGACAGCACCAGGATGTTTAATGCCTGCAGTCCAAAACTGGTTGGTAGAAGTACCTATTGTCAGTCCCATCAGTAGATTCACTTATCACATGGTAAGCGGGATGTCACTCAGGCCACGGGTAAATTATTTACAAGACTTTTCTTATCAAAGATCATTAAAATTTAGACCTAAAGGGAAACCTTGCCCCAAGGAAATTCCCAAAGAATCAAAAAATACAGAAGTTTTAGTTTGGGAAGAATGTGTGGCCAATAGTGCGGTGATATTACAAAACAATGAATTTGGAACTATTATAGATTGGGCACCTCGAGGTCAATTCTACCACAATTGCTCAGGACAAACTCAGTCGTGTCCAAGTGCACAAGTGAGTCCAGCTGTTGATAGCGACTTAACAGAAAGTTTAGACAAACATAAGCATAAAAAATTGCAGTCTTTCTACCCTTGGGAATGGGGAGAAAAAGGAATCTCTACCCCAAGACCAAAAATAGTAAGTCCTGTTTCTGGTCCTGAACATCCAGAATTATGGAGGCTTACTGTGGCCTCACACCACATTAGAATTTGGTCTGGAAATCAAACTTTAGAAACAAGAGATCGTAAGCCATTTTATACTGTCGACCTAAATTCCAGTCTAACAGTTCCTTTACAAAGTTGCGTAAAGCCCCCTTATATGCTAGTTGTAGGAAATATAGTTATTAAACCAGACTCCCAGACTATAACCTGTGAAAATTGTAGATTGCTTACTTGCATTGATTCAACTTTTAATTGGCAACACCGTATTCTGCTGGTGAGAGCAAGAGAGGGCGTGTGGATCCCTGTGTCCATGGACCGACCGTGGGAGGCCTCACCATCCATCCATATTTTGACTGAAGTATTAAAAGGTGTTTTAAATAGATCCAAAAGATTCATTTTTACTTTAATTGCAGTGATTATGGGATTAATTGCAGTCACAGCTACGGGTGCTGTAGCAGGAGTTGCATTGCACTCTTCTGTTCAGTCAGTAAACTTTGTTAATGATTGGCAAAAAAATTCTACAAGATTGTGGAATTCACAATCTAGTATTGATCAAAAATTGGCAAATCAAATTAATGATCTTAGACAAACTGTCATTTGGATGGGAGACAGACTCATGAGCTTAGAACATCGTTTCCAGTTACAATGTGACTGGAATACGTCAGATTTTTGTATTACACCCCAAATTTATAATGAGTCTGAGCATCACTGGGACATGGTTAGACGCCATCTACAGGGAAGAGAAGATAATCTCACTTTAGACATTTCCAAATTAAAAGAACAAATTTTCAAAGCATCAAAAGCCCATTTAAATTTGGTGCCAGGAACTGAGGCAATTGCAGGAGTTGCTGATGGCCTCGCAAATCTTAACCCTGTCACTTGGGTTAAGACCATTGGAAGTACTACAATTATAAATCTCATATTAATCCTTGTGTGCCTGTTTTGTCTGTTGTTAGTCTGCAGGTGTACCCAACAGCTCTGAAGAGACAGCAACCATCGAGAACGGGCCATGATGACGATGGCGGTTTTGTCAAAAAGAAAAGGGGGAAATGTGGGGAAAAGCAAGAGAGATCAGATTGTCACTGTGTCTGTGTAGAAAGAAGTAGACATAGGAGACTCCATTTTGTTATGTACTAAGAAAAATTCTTCTGCCTTGAGATTCTGTTAATCTATAACCTTACCCCCAACCCCGTGCTCTCTGAAACGTGTGCTGTGTCAACTCAGAGTTGAATGGATTAAGGGCGGTGCAGGATGTGCTTTGTTAAACAGATGCTTGAAGGCAGCATGCTCCTTAAGAGTCATCACCACTCCCTAATCTCAAGTACCCAGGGACACAAAAACTGCGGAAGGCCGCAGGGACCTCTGCCTAGGAAAGCCAGGTATTGTCCAAGGTTTCTCCCCATGTGATAGTCTGAAATATGGCCTCGTGGGAAGGGAAAGACCTGACCGTCCCCCAGCCCGACACCCGTAAAGGGTCTGTGCTGAGGAGGATTAGTAAAAGAGGAAGGAATGCCTCTTGCAGTTGAGACAAGAGGAAGGCATCTGTCTCCTGCCTGTCCCTGGGCAATGGAATGTCTCGGTATAAAACCCGATTGTATGCTCCATCTACTGAGATAGGGAAAAACCGCCTTAGGGCTGGAGGTGGGACCTGCGGGCAGCAATACTGCTTTGTAAAGCATTGAGATGTTTATGTGTATGCATATCTAAAAGCACAGCACTTAATCCTTTACATTGTCTATGATGCAAAGACCTTTGTTCACGTGTTTGTCTGCTGACCCTCTCCCCACAATTGTCTTGTGACCCTGACACATCCCCCTCTTTGAGAAACACCCACAGATGATCAATAAATACTAAGGGAACTCAGAGGCTGGCGGGATCCTCCATATGCTGAACGCTGGTTCCCCGGTTCCCCTTATTTCTTTCTCTATACTTTGTCTCTGTGTCTTTTTCTTTTCCAAATCTCTCGTCCCACCTTACGAGAAACACCCACAGGTGTGTAGGGGCAACCCACCCCTACATTGTGTTTCTCCAGCAAAATCTTTGTCAGAAAAACAATAAATACAATTTGTAAAATTTTAAGTCATTTTGCCAGGGATGGGGAGTTGACAGGTTAATGAAGTGGAAGGGAAAATAACTTAGTAAGTCCAGAACTCTATAAACCTTTTCTGTTTTATGGTTGTTATTGCTACTCTTATTTAATCATTTCAATAACCCTGAAAGGTACTGATATCCACTTTAAGGATTAAAAAATCCTGAGCCTCATAAAAGTTAAGTAACTTGATCAAAGTCAGCTGGAGAGACCAAGGTTTCTTTAGGGCTTGAATCATATCTGCCTGATTCCACAGCCCAGGCTTCCATGCATAACAGAGTAAGTGGTGCAAAGGGACATGGCAGGTTCTATAGGGTGCCTACCCAGCATCTTTTGTCCCTTATTTCATCTTAATAAAATCCATATGTTGTTAAGATAACCAACCTCCCACACATCACCATGTATTTCAGAGGATGAGACCTCATCCCCTACTCAAGGGGTGCCTGATGGAATGGTCATTACCATTCCCTTTGCCATGAAGGCTTTAGGGTTCAAATGTAACTTAACTCTAGCCACTTTCATATGAGGTGAAATCTGCTGGTGGAAGGACAGATGGTGGATAGCACTTCAGGGGGAAAAAAGAAAAACCAATTTTCTCTCTCTTTAGACAGTATACAGTAAATGTGCCTGATAGCAATAACTTAAGCATACCCTGAGAATTTCCCTGTATGGCAGACATACCTGAATATGTGTTCTGAGCTAGGGAATCCAGGAGTGGCCAACCAGCAAGTTTGTTCATTGTCTATGGGAAACTCTGAGCCCTTAGCCCACCCTGTGGCATATGGGCCATACACGGGATCAAGGCCCACGTTTTGTGTTGCATGAAGGTTACCAGGTGGAGGTTGTTAGGGAAAGAGGGTTATGAGAAAATACTACATAAACCTCATGTTTTTTGCAAGTAGTTGTAGTTCTTCTGCCCAGTCTGCTCCCACTGGGCTGTGCAATTATTCTCTCTAGCCTGCCACCACTGGACTCTCTCCCCTGTATGTAAGGCCCCAGTGAAACCCCATGTCTTGTTTGCTGGTTTTGGGTCTCTTCTTCAGCCTCTTGAACCTGATGCCATCCCCACTGGAGTCTATAGGGGTTCAGCACGACAGAGAAAAAAAACAAGCAAGAAATAATTCTCTTCATCTTGGGGATATGGTTATATTTGGAAATGATGCCTGGAACTGCTACCAGCAATTTGGTATCAGCCTGAGGATAAAGCTTCTGCCCAAGAGGACATAACAGAGGAACAAAAGAACCTTGGCTCTTGAATAGCTAGTGGAATTCACTGATTAAGTAATCCTGGAGTTTGCTGTCCCCCCAGGATTCCCCTTATAAAATAACATATGCCTGTGTTCACCCCAGTTTAAATTCTGGTTTCTTTCACTGGACCCTAAAGCATCCTAATGGTATAACTGGATGCCAAGACTCCATGCAGCAAGGCTAGACTGCCTTTGCTCCTTGTAGATTTCAAGGGAGTTGTAACAGGAGATCCTAAACTGAAATAAATTCATCCAAGCAGAGCAGACGAAGGGGTCAAAGTGGCTGAGACTTGCCACTATGACTTCTAAGGCAGGGGGGTTAGAAAACCAGGGCCCAGCTGTTATGGAGGCAGGAACATTTGCAGGAATGAAACCTGGGACTATTATCAAAGCAACCTGGCTAGTTTAATAAGCTGAAGTTGAGCCCTGTAACCAATACACAGAACAGCTGGTCAAGTTCTATCAAGCTGAGGTCATTTACAAGAAAAGTAGAAAGGGGTTGCCTGGCAAGAACCAAGTTAATTAAATTATCTCCTAAGAATTTCTTCTGGACAGTGATTATTTTTTAATTTAAGGGACAATTTTGAAACCTAATTATCCCCACAATCACCTTCAATTCATTGGCTTAGTGATTTAAATTTAACGTGTTAAAAGTTTTTATGTTAAATATTTAAAACACATTAAATTAGTAATTTTAATAAATCTAATATCTATGTGAAGATTCTAAGTACACAAGCTATTTAAATTCTTAACACAATATTTGTATTTATCAGGGGAGGAGAGATTGAAAGGGGAGAGAGAGAAAATATTAAGAAACAGCAGACCTTGGTCATAGTTCTTGTCATTAGTCATATTGTTTATTTTCTGTTAGTATGCATAACAGAGAAACACTCCAGCATTTGGTGATTCACTGCATTTTACTTGTTAATAATAGAATGCCTCTTAAAGAACCGTGTGTAGAAAAGCACTGAAATCGCTTCCCTGGAAAAACTGAGGGTAGTCTCCATTTAAGTATAGAATCACATAAACTAATGAACACTAAATTACCATTTATCTTCTTCCACATTCCTGGATTTTCTTCAGTGAATTTGACCACAAAAAAAATGCCAGTTTCACAGTAGACCTTTTTCTTTCATAAATTGCCCAGTCTTGGGTACGTCTTTACCACCAGTGTGAAAACTAACTAATACGGTAAACGGGTACCAGTAGAGTCGGGCGTTACTGGAAAGATACCCAAAAATGTGGAAGCGATTTTGGAACTGGGTCACAGGCAGAGGTTGGAAGAGTTTGGAGGGCTCAAAAGTAGAAGAAAAATGTGGGAAAGTTTGGAACTTCCTAGAGACTTGTTGAATGGCTCTGCCCAAAATGCTGATAGTGATATGGACAATGAAGTCCATGCTGAGGTGATCTCAGATGGAGATGAGGAACTTGTTGGGAACTGGAGCAAAGGTGACTCTTGTTATGTTTTCACAAAGAGACTGGCAATATTTTGCCCCTGTTCTAGAGATCTGTGGAACTTTGAACTTGAGAGAGATAATTTGCGGTATCTGAAGGAAGAAATTTCTAGGCAACAAAGCATTCACAGGTGACTTGGGTGCTGTCAAAGGCACTCCGTTTTACGAGGAAAAAAGAGTATAAAAGTTTGGAAAATTTGCAGCTTGACAAGGTGATAGAAAAGAAAATCCCATTTTCTTAAGAGAAATTCAAGCCCACTGCAGAAACTTGCATAAGTAACAAGGAGCCAAATGTTAATCCCCAAAACAATGAGGGAAATGTCTCCAGGGCATGTCTGAGGTCTTAACAGCTAACAGCAGCCCCTCCCATCACAGCCTGGAGGCCTAGGAGGAAAGAGTGGTTTCATGGGCCCGGCCCAGGGTCCCAGTGCTGTGCCAGACTAGGGATTTAGTGCCCTGCTTTCCAGCCACCCCAGCCATGACTAAAAGGGGCCAAGGTACAACTCAGGCCATCGCTTTAGAAGGTGCAAGCCACAAGCCTTGGCAGCTTCTAGGTGGTGTTGAGCCTGTAAGTGCATAGAATTCAAGAATTGGGGGTTGGAAACCTCCACCTAGGTTTCAGGAGATGTATGGAAACACCTGGATGCCCAGGGAGAAGTTTGCTGCAGGGGCAGGCCCTCATGGAGAACCTCTGCTAGGCTAGGGCAGTGCAGAAGGGAAATGTGGGGTTGGAACCCCCACACAGAGTCCTTACTGGGGCACCACTTATTGGAGCTGTGAGAAGAGGGTCTCCGTCCTCCAAACCCCAGAATGGTAAATCCACCAACAGCTTGCACCATATGCCTGGAAAAGCCACAGACACTCAACACCAGCCCATGAAAGCAGCCAGGAGGGAGGCTGTGCCCTGCAAAGCCACAGGGTCAGAGCTGCCCCAAACCATGGGAACCCACCTCTTGCATCAGTGTGACCTGGATGTGAGACAGGGAGTCAAATGAGATCATTTTGGAGCTTTAAGATTTGATTGCCCTGCTGGATTTCAGATTTGCATGGGGCCTGTAGCCCCTTTGTTTTGGCCAATTTCTGCCATTTGGAATGGGTGTCTTTATGCAATGCCTGTCCCCCATTGTATCTAGGAAGTAACTAACTTGCTTTTCATTTTGCTAGCTCATAGGCAGAAGGGACTTGCCTTGTCTCAGATAAGATTTTGGACTGTGGACTTTTGAGTTAATGCTGAAAAGAGCTAAGACTTTGGGGGAAGGCAAAATTGGTTTTGAAATGTGAGGACGAGATTTGGGGGGGGCCAGGGATGAAATGATGTGGTTTGGCTGTGTCCCCACCCAAATCTCATCATGAATTGCCATGTGTTGTGGGAGGGACCTGGTGGGAGGTAATTGAATCATGGGGGCAGGTCTTTCCCATGCTGTTCTCGTGATAGTGAGTCTCACGAGATCTGATGGTTTTAAAAACAGGAGTTTCCCTTTACAAGCTCTCTCTTCTCTTGTCTGCTGACATGTGAGAAGGTGCCTTTCACCTTCCACCATGATTGTGAAGCCTCCCCAGCTACATGGAACTGTAAGTCCATTAAATCTCTTTCTTTTGTAAATTGCCCAGTCTTGGGTATGTCTTTATCAGTAGTATAAAAATTAACTAATACAACAACCATATTCAAGTGCTTACTAGTAAAAGATGGGACAGGATTTACATTGACCGCTATTGCCAATATTTTCTAGAACATTGTATTAGTCAGGGTTCTCTAGAGAAAGAGGACCAAATGGTAAGTATGTAGATAGGTATTTATTTATTAATAAGAAATTGGTTCACATGATTATAGAGACTAAATCTAGAACCAGGAAAACTGATGGGATAGTTGCAGTCTGAGTCCAAAGGCCTGAGAAGCAGGAGAGCTGATGGTGTAAACTCCAGTCTGAGTTTGAGGCCAAAGGCAGGAGAAGACTGATGTCCCACCTCAAAGACAGTTAGAAAGAAAGGCAGAATTCCTTCTTATTCAGTCTCTTTTTCTATTCAGGCCTTCAACAGATTGGGTGAGGCCTACCCACATTGGGGAGGGCAACCGGCTTTCCTCAGTCTATCAATCCAAATGTTAAATGTTCTTCTTATTCAGAAACACCCTCACAGGCACACCCAGGCATAATGTTTAACCAACGATCTGGACATCCTTTGGCTCAGTCAATTTGACACATAAAATAACCATAATAAACACTTTTCAATTGTTTTCACCATCTGATGCAGTATAAGGTGATTAAAAAAAAAGTCAGGAAATGAGCCTGACTTTTGAGGCAATAAAAGACTATTTTGTTTAAAGATACCCTAGAGATTTCTACTAGCAATAAGGAAGATTAGATCTAAAGGTCTTTCTTCCACAAAAAAAAAAAAAAAAATTAGATATAGTGTAAATTTAGAAAAATTTTCCAATACATATTATACCCACAAGTAAATAAAGAAAATATCTATGAGCTAGTAAGATTAATAATAACAACAGTAAAGATCATAATAAACAGTAAACTGAAATCAGAAAGGTAAGCTCTAAGGATTCCAAGGACAATAGCCTTACCATTACTGAATCACTGGGACTGGAGGACATATCCATAGGCTCTATGCAATGTCAAGGAGCTACACCTGAGACACAGGAATTTGGCAGCCTCAGGGGGAAAGGAATAGTAAGTCAGTAGTACTCACTGGAAACAAGAAGAAACTAACATAAATCCTCTTTGGAGAAAATTCATTTCCATAGACTACGTTTAACCAAACATAAAATCCCAATCAAAATTATTAACTCTACAAAGAAAAAGCCACAATTAGTTAAAACAAAACAAAACAACTGCAGAAAAAAAAATCATCAATGATATAGATAATGAAAATTAAAATTATTAGAAAAGTAACATTAAAAACTAAGTATGAAATGTTAACAAATTAAAATCTGAAATGAAAATAAGGGACAAAAAACTATAAAAATGACCAGGTGAAAAAGAACCAAACAGAACTTAAGAAACAAAAAATACATAGTAATCAAAATGCAAATTCAATGGAAAAAGAAATTACCAAGAAAGGCAAGGAAAATAAAATCATGAAAGACAAGATAAAAGAAATGAAGAATAAATAAGATTTAATCAGAACCCTAGAAGAGATAATAGAAAGAATGGAGTAGAGGCAGTACTGAAGGAGAAAATACCTATGACTTTTACAGAATGACACAGCTAGATTAACAATGAAAACAAAGGAGAAGATCCAAATAAGTGCAATCAGAAATAACAAAGATGGCATACAACTGATTCCACAGAAATACAAAAGATCCTCAGAGACTATTATGAACACCTCTATGAACACAAAATAGAAAATCTAAAGGAAATGGATAAGTTCCAGCAAACACACAACCCCCCAAGATTAAACAACGAAGAATATGAAAACCTGAACAGACTAATAACAAGTTTTGAAATTGAATCAGTAATAAAAAGTCTACCAGCAGAAAAAAGCCCTGGATCAGATGGATTCACAGGCAAATGGAATCTACCATATGTCCAAAGAACTGGTACCAATTCTACTGAAGCTATTCCAAAAAAATCAAAGAGAAGGGGCTCCTCACTAACTGATTCTTTAAAGCCAGCATCAGCCTGATACCAAACCCTGGCAGAGACACAAAGAAAAAAGAAAACTACAGACCAATGTCCCTGATTTTAAAGATGCCAAAATCCTCAACAAAATACTAAAAAAAAAAACAAATTCAGCAGCACATCAAAAAGTTAATTCACCACAATTAATTAGGCTTTATTCCTGGGATGCAAGACTGGTTCAGCATGAGCAAATCAATAAATGTGATCTACTACTTAACAATTAAAAGCAAAAAATGTAGGACCATCTCAATAAACACAGAAAAAGCTTTTCATAAAATCCAACATAATTTCATGATAAAAGCCCTATACATACTAGGCATTGAAGGAACATACCTCAAAATAATGAGAACCATCTATGACACACCCAAGGCCAACATCATGCTTAATGGGCAAAAGCTGGAACCATTCCCCTTAAGAATTGCAACAAGACAAAGATGTCCACTTTCATCACTCCTATTCAACAAAGTACTGGAAGTTCTAGCCAGAGCAATCAGGCAAGATAAAGAAATAAAAAGCATCCAAAAAAGAAAAGAAGTCAAAATATCTTTCATCACTGATCATATGATTCTATACATGGAAAACCCTAAAGACTCCACCAAAAGGCTCCTAGAACTGATAAACAACTTCAAAGTAAAGTTTCAGGATACAAAATCAATGTACAAAAATTAGTAGCATTTCTATACAATAATAATGCTCAAGCTGAGAGTCAAATCAAGAACACAATCTCATTTACAATAGCCACAAAAAATTGAAATACCTAGTAATACATAAATCAAGAAGGTGAAAGATTTCTATAAGGGTGTAAAAGATTTCTATAAGGAGAACTACAAAACACTACAGAAAAAAATCAGAGACAACACAAATGGAGAAACATTCCATGCTCATGGATCGGAAGAATCAGTATTAAAAATGGCCATACTGCCCAAAGCAATCTACAGATTCAATGCTATTTCTATCAAATTACCCATGTCACTTTTCACAGAACTAGAAAAAATATCTAAAATTTATAAGAACCAAAAAAACAAGCCAAATAGACACCAAAGCAATCCTAAGTGAAAAGAACAAAGCCAGAGGCACCACACTACCTGACTTCAAACAATACCATAGGGCCACACTAACCAAAACAGCATGGTACTGGTACAAAAACAGACATATAGACCAATAGAACAGAATAGAGAACCCAGAAATAAAGACACACACATTTGACCACCTGATCTTCATCAAAGCCAACAAAAACAAGTAGTAGAGAAAGGACTCCCTATTCAATAAATGGTGCTAGGATAACTGTATAGCCATATGCAAGAAAATGAAACTGGATCCCTACCTTTTACCACTTACAAAAATCCAACTCAAGATGGGTTAAAGATTTAGGTGAAAGACCTCAAAGTATAAGAATCATGGAAGAAAACCTAAGAAACATCATTCTGGACAAGTGCCTTGGGCAATAATTTATTACTAAGTCTTCAAGAGCACTTGTATAAAAAAAAAAAGACAAATTGACAAGTGGGACCTAATTAAACTAAAGATCTGCACAGCACAAAAACAAACAAACAAAAAACTATCAACAGAGTAAATGGACAACCTACAGAATGGGAGAAAATATTCACAAACTACACATCTGATAAAGGTCTAATATCCAGAATCTATAAGGAACTGAAACACATCAACAAGCAAAAAACAAATAACCTCATTAAAAAATGGGCAAAGGCCATATATTAGTTCATTTTCATACTGCTGTAAAGAACTGCCTGAGACTGGGTAATTTATAAAGGAAAAGGATTTAACTGACTCACAGTTCAGCATGGCTGGGAAGGCCTCAGGAAACTTACAGTCATGGCAGAAGGCAAAGGGGAAGCAAGGCAAATTTTTCAAGAGGTGGCAGGAAGGAGAATGAATGCAGGAGGAACTACCAAACATTTATAAAATGATCAGATCTCAGGAGAACTCACTCAGTATCACAAGAACGGCATGGGTGAAACCACCGCCCTGATTCAATTACCTCCTCCTGGTATCTCCCTTGACACGTGTGGATTATAGGGATTATGGAGATTATAATTCAAGATGAGATTTTGAGTGGTGACACAGCCAAACCATATCAGGATAGGAACAGGAACTTCTCAAAATAAGATACACAAGCAGCCAACAAACATGAAAAAAAAATGCTGTTATCACAATCATCAGAGAAATGCAAATCAAAACCACAATGAGATACCATCTCACACCAGTCAGAACAACTATTAAAAAGTCAAATAATAACAGATCCTGGTGAGGCTGTGGAGAAAAGGGAATGCGTATACACTATTGATGGGAATGTAAATTAGTTCAGCCACTGTGGAAAACAGTCTGGAGATTTCTCAAAGAACTTAAAACAGAGCTACCATTCAACCCAGCAATCCCATTACTAGGTATATATACCCCAAAGAAAGAAATAATTATGAAAAAAGACACATGCACTCATATGTTCATCACAGTGCTATTCACAATAGCAAAGATGTGAAATCAGCCTAGGTGTCCATCAACAGTGGACTGGAAGAAAATGTGGTACATATACACCAGGAAATACTACACAGCCATAAAAAAGAATGAAATCATGTTCTTTGCAGCAACATAGATGCAGCTGGAGGCTATAATCTTAAGCGAAATAATACAGAAAACCAAATACTGCATGTTCTCACTTATAAGTCAGAGCTAAATATTGAGCACACAAGGACATAAACATGAGAACAATTGACAGTATAAACTACTAAATGGGGGGAGTGAGGGAGGGAAGCATGGTGTATTAGTCCATTTTCACGATGCTGATAAAGACATACCCAAGACTGGGCAATTTACAAAAGAAAGTGATTTAATGGACTTACAGTTCCACGTGGCTGGGGAGGCCTCATAAATCATGGTGGAAGGCGAAAGGCACGTCTCATGTGGTGGCAGACAAGAGAAGAGAACTTGTGGAGGGAAACTCACCTTTATAAAACCATCAGATATCATGGGACTTATTCACTATCACGAGAACAGCACGGGAAAGACCTGCCCTCGTGATTCAATTACCTCCCACTAGGTCCCTCCCACATGTGGGAAGTGTGGGAGTTACATTTCAAGATGAGATTTGAGTAGGGACACAGCCAAACCATATCACATGGGTTGAAAACCTACCTATTGGATACAATGCTCACTACCTGGATGACAGGATTTATACCCCAAACCTCAGTATCACATAACATACCCAGGTAATAAAACTGCCCATGTACCCCCTGTATCTAAAATAAAATTTAAGAAAAATCCACCTATATCTTCTTTAAATATGCATGCTGAAAATATAGAATGTACAATGATAAAATCGTATACTGTCAAACACTAAACCAAGTAAATCTAGTATAGCAATATTATTGTCAGCTAAATTAGGTTTCTTGTAGAAGCCCCTACAACCCTAATAATTTGGTTTAAACTCCTTGGAAAGCAATTTGGCATTATAATGTAAATTTGAATATGCACTTACCTTACCACTCACCAATTCTACTACTCCACTTTCTAGAGAAAGCCTTGCACATACACCCCAGTAGATATGCAAGAATGTTTATATCAGCACTGGTCATAAAAGCAGCAAACAAAAACAAAATTACCTAAGTGTTTAAACGTGGAATACTAAATGATATGGCATATTCACACACCAGATTATTGTAGAAAACAAAAATTAAGGAACTCTAGCTATATGCCACAATATACATGAATCCTATAAAAGAAATAGTGAAAAATGGAAAGTCACAAAACACTTCATATAAGATGACACCACTTTTACAAAGCTCAAAAACAAACTGAACAATATATTGTTTAGGGACACATACATATGTGGCAAAATATGTTTTTAAAAGCACACATTTTAAACACAAGATACTGGGAATTAGTTATTTTGGGGAGTGAGTCAGTAGCTTGAGATCTAGAAGACGCACATGGGGTACAACAGTGATTGACAATGTTTTCTCTCTCAATGTAGGCAATTGTTTCAGAAATGTTCACTTTATTGTTATGCTTTACAACTTAAAAATATACTAGACAAATTAATTTGTATCAAATATAATAACAAATGTAAAAATACATACAGTCTTGCTAACACCACTCTAAGTATTATCACTCTTAGATACTGTAACGAAACACAATTAAAACTCAAAAAAGAACACATCTAATATTGAACCCTTGCTCATCCTACAGTTCTTAAATAGCAGATCTTGAACTAACTATATCTCTGAAAAAGAGAGCACTACAGTGCTCTTTGCCCTGCTTGGGAAATACGTTCATGTCAAAGGAACAATTTCTGCCATAAAGTTGTGCTTTCATATAAAAATGTATTATTTCCACCTTTAAAATGGCTAGAATCAAAAAGCTACATAACAAATGTTAGTGAAAATGAAGTGAAATCAGAACCCTCACACACCACTAATGGAATGTGAAATGTTACAGACACTTAGGCAAACAGTCAGTTTCTCAAACAGTTAAACACAGACTTACCACATGACCTGCCAGTTGTATCTTAGGTAATATACCCAACAGAAATGAAAACATATATCCACAGAGAAACGTTTATACATGTTTATAGCAACATTATTCATACTAGCCAAAGATGGAAATAACCTCTATCAACTGACAAACTGATAACAAAATGTAGTATAGTCATAAAAAGGAATGAAATGTTGAGACATGCTACAACATGAATGAACCTCAAAAACCTTACACTAAGTGAAAGAGTTAGAAAAAACTATATGTTATATGATTTTATCCATATGAAAGTCCAGAACAGGGAAATCTAAAGCAACAGAAAGTAGATTAGATATTTCTTAGGACTAGGAGGTGGGGCCAATGGGGGAGCATAGGGGCAGTAACTAAAGAGTAAGGGGTTTCTTTATGAGGTAATAAAAATATTCTAAACATTGACTGTGGTGATAATATCACATATGTGTGAATGTGCAAAACATGAATTGTGCACTTTAAATGAGTGAATTTTGGCTGGGTGTGGTGGCTCACACCTGTAATCCCAGCACTTTGGGAGGCTGAGGTAGGCGGATCACCTGAGGTCAGGAGTTCGAGACCAGCCTGGCCAACATAGTGAAACCCCATCTTTACTAAAAATACAAAATTAGCCAGGTGTGGTGGCACATGCCTGTAATTCCAGCTACTGGGGAGGATGAGGCCGAAGAATTCCTTGAACCCGGGAGGTGGAGGTTGCAGTGAGCTGAGATCACGCCACTGGACTCCAGCCTGGGCAACAAGAGTAAAACTCTGACTCAAAAAAAAAACAAAAAACAAAAAAAGAGTGAATTTTACAGTATGTGAATTATATCACAATGAAACTGTTTTTAAGATGCATTATTTACAACCTCATAATGGCCACTAGAAAATGGGGCTAAAGTACATAATAGCAGTATAACATTGTAAGCAGTATGGTCTAATAATGTTTTGTCTAGACATAGCAACCAGCTAATCCAATACCTCAGCCAATCACAGGTCTTCCGAATATCCCAAGCTTAAATGACCCATAAGATGTTAGGAGCGTGTAGATTCGGGCACTAAATAATAAATAATATGGGTGCCAGTAGTGGCCTATGTGATCTCATATTCATTCCTCTCCCTTCTCTTCTACTCTGCGTCATAGAGGTCACCCCTTCAGGCCCTATTTTACAGGCATCCAACTGGGTTTGTGCACTAGGAGGCACTGTCAGGAGACTGTAGGTTGGAAGGAAAGAAGAAACCAGGGTACTTGTTGCCTTCCCCCTCTGACTTAGTCTGTGTCCACTGTGTAGCTCCAGCTCCCAGTAGTTAGACTGCAGTGGTTCCAGTGCTGGCTGCCAAACCCTGTCCTTGGGCCTCCAAAACATCCTTCTTCAGCCAAGCAGTGATAGCAGCTCCTGCTTTTGCTAATTTCTGAGTTGCTTCAATATATCTTTTATAACTTCTTTGTTACACACCTGGGTAACTAATGCTTTATTCCATTCTCTTGGTTTAAATGTGTAATGGTGATTTGTGTTTTTCTGGTTGAACCCAACAAAGCTTGATTCACTGTTTCACAAGTATAATAATGGTATAATAGTTCAGTTTATCTCTGATTATCTTTCTGTCCACTGTTTCTAGCCTACAGAATCAAAGCACTTTATGAGATAATTATATTTCACTATTGTGGCATTCAGAGCAACTTCAATTTGTTCAATTTAATATGAAAAGAGAACTGATATAAAGAACATTAATAAAATTTGAACCATGAAACAAAAAAATAATGTTTTAGAAAGTAATGATTGGAGTTATTTTCAGAAAATTCACAATCTAAAATCATAGGAAAACAGCCTTCCACTCTATATTCAGTCAGATGGTAGGGATATATGAAGAAGAATTAAAAATCATTATGCTAAACATCTATAAAATATCAAACATTGATGTTAAGAAAGCTCTCCCTAAAGACAATGGAGTTGATTCTCAAAAATATCAGTGAGCTAATAAATTCTTTAAGATATACATTTTAAGCACAGTCATAAAAGTAAAAAATTGAAATGAATTTATGATCTAAATTTTAATCATCTAACTACAAATAAAACTCAATAATAAATTAAGAATCACTATTTGTAAAGATAGAGACTCAAAACCACAGTTTTCCAGGGCAAAATACATGGCAGAAGCAATGTCATTAAACAAGATTAAGTAAGAGATACCAAGGCAAGTTTAAGTACATTAACACTTATAATGAGTGCAGTTTATACTCAATGCCTTTTATAATCAGTTTATTTGACAGACATTATTGAAGCACCATGCCATGCTAGGGACAAAGCAAAACACTAAGAATGCAAAGATGAATAGGACATGGTGTTTGCCCTCAAGAAATTGTGTGTAACTAGGAAGACAAACACATGAATGACTATAAGACAATGCGATGAAAGTTGTGACACATTCCCAACAAAATGCATTGTGGGAAT